>NC_000004.12:86951684-87103199 GCF_000001405.40 Homo sapiens
TGATCTTGGCTCACTACAACCTCCACCTCCAGGTTCAAGCAATTCTCCTGCCTCAGCCTCCTGAGTAGCTGGGACTACAGGCACACCATGCCCAGCTAATTTTTGTATTTTTAGTAGAGACGGGTTTCACCATGTTGGCCAGGATGGTCTCGATATCTTGACCTCATGATCTGCCCGCCTTGGCCTCCCAAAGTGCTGGGATTACAGGCGTGGGCCACCACATCTGGCTGGGAACCTTTTTTTTTTTTTTTTTAAAGCAAAAAGCTAGACAATTGTTTCATCATTTTTTATTAAATCACCTGTCTTTTCTCCACAGATACAAATGCTATGTCTAAATTTTATCACAGTCTTGGGTCTGTTGTTGGGCTGTCTTTTGCTCCATTGATGTGTCTTTTGGCAACTGTGGCATATTGTTTCACTGTATCTTTATATGTCATAATATTGAGGCAGATTCTTTGTAATTCTTGTTTTTAGAATTTTCATAGCTATTCATTCTCATGCTTCTCAGTGTATTCTGAAGTCATTCATCATTTTCTAGAAAATTTATGATTGGCATTTTGATTGGAATCCCTTGGAATTCATCAGTTAGAGTTGACTACTGTAGGCTATTAAAACGTCTTCCTATAAGAATGTAGATATCAGACTGGTGAAAATTTAAGGAGCTGAAGTAATTTTAAATTTTAATTGTAAGATTTTCGTGGAGGTGATTTTTCAAAAAGGTTTAGTTACTGATGTTGGTTCCTGTGTTATTTCTGGTAGATGAATCAATTATATTAGGTAAAAGTATTATCATTGGCATGATTAAAAAGATGTTTTAGCTTAAAACCTAAATGATGGGTTGATAGGTACAGCAAGCCACCACAGCATGTGTATACAACCTGCATGTTCTGCACATGTATGTAACAAACCTGCATGTTCTGCACGTGTGTTTAACAAACCTGCATGTTCTGCACATGTATCCCAGGACTTAAAGTAAAAAAAAACAAAAAAACAAAAACACAACTTTTTTTTTTTTTTTTTTTGAGATGGAGTCTCACTCTGTCCCTCAGGCTGGAGTGCAGTGGCGTGATCTTGGCCCCTCTGCCTCCCGGGTTCAAGCGTTTCTCCTGCCTCAGCCTCCTGAGTAGCTGGCACTACAGGCACCCACCACCACGCCCGGCTACTTTTTGTATTTTGTATTTTTTATTTATTTATTTATTTTCAGTAGAGATGTGGTTTCACCATATTGTCCAGGCTGGTCTCAAACTCCTGACCTTGTGTTCCCCTCCACCCCCACTACCCACCCCCACCTTCAGCCTCCCAAAGTGCTAGGATTACAGGCCTGAGCCATGGCGCCCAGCAAAAAGAAAAAAGATACTTTATATTCTATGACATATTTTTTTTGTTTTGCTAGTTATTAAGTTTGGATGGGTAACTGCCCCTTATAGTAACATTCTAGCAATTACAGAGCTGTTTTTATTATTTGTTACTTTTATCATAATTTCTAGCTCCTCACCTCCTCAATATGCTCCTTTTAGTTTTAGTACCTACTACAAGTGGTAAGTTTGGGGATATCCTTTAAAAAGCTCTATTTTTAATACACACCAGTAGCTCACTTGTTTAAATGTTTAATCATGATAGGTATTTAATCTTTTATTTGCCCAGAAAAAAACATTAAATTCATGTGGAACTGGTCCAGGACTAGGATATATTTGCAAAGGAAACAGATGTGTATTGAGTACGCAGCTCTAATCATTCAAACTAAATTGAAGTCTGAACGTGAACCCTTACTTTGCTCAGGGCTATCAAAAGTCATAAGCGTGGACAGAATATTAATGTAATGTGCAAAGACAATGTTTTAGTTCTTACAAATAATGAGCTTATTCTGTGACTTCCAGATTTATCGGCACTTGACACTGTTGAATTTGAGCTCACTTATATTTCTTCACCTTCCTTCCGTCCCCCTTTTTAATAGTTCTTTCTAAAAATTGTTATTGGAGTCTAACAGACTGAAAAAGGCAGACATTATTAGTACAGTTTAGTGCATTTTCTTTTCTTTTTTCTTTTTTTTTTGAGATGGAGTTTTGCTCTTGTCGCCCAGGCTGGAATGCAATGGCGCGATCTCGGCTCACTGGAACCTCCATCTCCTGGGTTCAAGCGATTCTCCTGCTTCAGCCTCCCGAGTAGCTGGCGCACCACCACGCCCAGCTAATTTTTGTACGTTTTTAGTAGAGACGGGGTTTCACCATGTTGGCCAGGCTGGGCTCAAACTCCTGACCTTAGGTGATCTACCTGCCTCGGCCTCTCAAAGTGCTGGGATTACAGGCGTGAGCCACCGTGCCCGGCCTAGTTCAGTGCATTTTCATAAAGTGAACACATGTAACAGATTAAGACCAGCTGTCTAGAACTCCTCTCCTTTCCCCTTTCAGCTACTACCTCCCTTAAAAGTCATCACTGTTCTGACTTGTAACACCCTGCATTTGTTTTGTCTGCTTTTCAATTTGATTTAAATATAATCATATAGCATATACTCCTTTATAAAGTTTCCATTCATTTTGATGTTTGTATTAGTTAACCTTCAAACACTGTGAGGTTTAGGGGTAAAATATCTACATGACTTTTGGCTCCCTAAAAGCTTAACTACTAATTAGCCTACAGTTGACTGGAAGCCTTATGAATAACATAAACAGCTGATTAACACATATTTTGATATGTATTAAGTAGTGTATTCTTACAATAAAGTAAGCTAGAGAAAAGAAAATGTTATTAAAATCATTTCTAGGCATGGTGGCTAATGCCTGTAATCCCAGCACTTTGAGAGGCTGAGGTGGGCAGACTGCTTGAGTCCAGGAATTCATTCGAGACCAGCCTGGGCAACATGGTTAAACCCTGTCTCTACAAAAAATACAAAAATTAGCCACCTGTAGTCCCAGCTACTGACAGGGGTCCAGGTGGGGTAAAGGCCTGAGGTGGGAGGATTGCTTGAGCCTGGAAGGTCAAGGCTGTGGTGAGCCAAGATTGCACCACTGCACTCCAGCCTGGGTGACAGAGCAAGACCCTGTCTCAAAAAAATCTTAAGATAAAATGTATTTACTGTTCATTAAGTGGAAGTGGATCATCATAAAGGTCTTCATTCTCATCCTCTTTATGCTGAGTGAAAGAGGAAAGTCTTCATGTCTCTGAAGCAGAAGAAAATCCATGTCAATGGACTTGTGCAGTTCAAGCCCATGGGGTATTTTTATTTCTTCTGTTCAATATATTTAAATATCTTTATCATATATTTTATATTAGTATATTACTTATGTAATCACTTTACCTTTTACATTCTTTTCCCATCAACTTCTCATAGTCTAAGATGATAATGTAATTATCCTTTTTGTTCCACCTTGTGACTGTCATCTACCCTCCAGCTATTCTTTCTGCTTTTGGTTTTAAATTATCCAGATTTCCAGATTAATAGCCTATTTTATTTTATGATTATTTGTGCCCTTGCAAGCTTTGTCTTTAAAATGACAATAAAAGTGGAAAAACCAATAAGCATTATTTACATTGTTTTGATTGAGAAGGAAAATCGTGTCTAGGATTTTATTTCTCCTCCAGCGTCAACTCAAATACCACTTGAACAGAATGTTCATATTGATTAGGACTAATGAACTATCATTAACTGAATAAATTGTTCAAACGCCAAATTTTAAATTGCTTCATCTTTGAATAGTGCTTTTGCTTTGCTTGGACTTTCTAATTTCTTTTTCCTTATTGAAAGAGAGAATGTGCCTTTTTGCCATTTCACTAACATGTTCCCCTTCTTACTCTTTTGTATCAACTGCTTGAAATGTCTCATTTTCTCCTTGGAATCTTGAAACTAAAATTAATTTTTACAAAGTGTGTGCTAAATTACATTCTTCTGAAATTGGGCCCAGGTAACTGAAGCCAGAGAGTAAAGTTGGGATATATTCTGGGAAATTTTTTACTTGAGGACAGGGGGAAAACATGTTAAAATAAACCATAAGAATGAAGTAAATGTCATTTCAGGCTATACCACCAAATGGGTGGGACATGATTTTATCGTCTTCTGCCATTCAGAGTGGGTACTGAAGTGTTTTAGGAGATTTGCTGAGATGCTTTTCAGTTTTTGGGAAGATTTGAGGGATTGGATTTTGTTAACCTTGCATCATATAGGATGGAATACTGTAGCCCCTGGAAGCTCTCCTTTTCGAGTTTGAATTGATGTTTAACTCTCCTAATTGAGAAGAATTCTCAATTATTGAGGAAGCTACAAGGTGTTCAACAGATTAACACCTATTATATGGACAGATCTTCTTTGTGCAAGTAAATCAAGGGCCAAACTTCTAGATGCTTACTAGAGAGTTTAATGGCTGTAGGCCATGTTTTCCTGAAATAGTGATTGGCCTGGGCATTGTAAATAGTGCACACCTGGAATTGTGAAATGAGGAAATAAGGTTTCCTGCATTTTCAAGTGAACTAGTTTCTGGCCTGATTTACAAGTGCAATAATATTTCTTATACAAAACACCTTGTTTTCCCTCATTTTAGAAAATGATTGCTAACTGATAAGTATGTGTCATTGTCATATGTAGTTTAAGATGAGTCACTCAGTTTGATGGGTTTAGAAGAGTTTAGATTCAGACTTACCTGAGAACTGAGGAAATATTTTTTTGGAATTAGTTATTTCCCAAAAGGAAAGCTAAATTTTGCATATAAGAAGACACTGCTACATAGTATTTACTCTTCTACAAGTGGCATAGTCATCTTAGAAAACAACAGAAGTAACTTTATTGAGGTGTAATTTACAAGCTATTTTAAGTATACAGTTTAATTTTTAGTAACTTTACTGAGTTGTGCAACCATTACTACAATCCAGCTTTAGAACATTTTCATCTAGATGGAACTACCTGTTTACAGTTAATCCCATTTTCATTCCCAGCCCCAGGTAACTATTAATCCTCAATAATTTTGCCTATTCTGGACATTTTATATAAGTGCAATCATACAATATGTTAATTTTTGTGACTGGCTTCTTAGGATAAAGTTTTCAAGATTCATCCATATTACAGCATGTATCAGTTTTTCAGTCCTTTTTATTGCTAAATAATATTCCATTGCATAGATGTGCCATCTTGTACTATTCATCAGTTAATGGACATTTAGGTAGTATCCACTTTTTTGTTTTTATGAGCAATGTTCCACATATGTTTTTATTTCTTTTGGGCAGATGTTTAGGAGAGGAATTGCTTGCCTCTAAGGTAGGTTTCTGTTTGGAGTCATCTTTATTTTAAGCTCACAAGCCATTGTGCCTGGGGTCACTTTTGTTTATTTGCATGTACTTTTTCTCTGTCTTTAGCCCTGAACTCCCTGCTGAGGCTGAGAGTTGGAGGAGAATGAATTAATATTAATAATTATTTTGTGCCTTCAGTATAGTGGACACTAGTCCAGGCATTTGGCATTATATCATTTTAGGTGCTAAACTTGGTCCAGGTGGTAGATAAGATGAACACTGAGTTGAATTGCTGGGGATAACATTGTCTTTGTAGGGATACTAATTTTATACTGTCTTGATGTGGGAAAGAACCATTTTTCTTTCTGGAGGCCTTCCATTATAACAGTACTTTTCTTCTGAAGCCATACTAGTCAGCCTACTTTAGGAAGAAGAGAATTTCAGTTCCAGTTTCTCCTGTTTTGCAGAAGCTGGGGAACCATTATTTCAAAATCTGAGTCATGTTTTCTATGCTCTGTAAGGTATTCATATCAGTAGCCTAATTTTACTGGAGAAAGCAAAAGCCTGGAGAGACCTTCATAGCTGAGTATGTGAATCAGACTGTGGGGAATGCTGGGGCAACTAGTTCATTTTTGGTTGGAAATTTTTTTTTCTTTTTTCTTGAGATGGAATCTCACTCTGTTGCCCAGGCTGGAGTGCAGTGTTGTGATCTCCGCTCACTGCAACCTCTGCCTCTTGGGTTCAAGCAATTCTCCTGCCCCAGCCTCCCAAGTATCTGGGACTACAGGTGCATGCCACCACACCTGGCTAATTTTTTATTTTTAATAGAGACAGGGTTTCACCATGTTGGCCAGGCTGGTCTCAAACTCCTGACCTCAGGTGATCCTCCCACCTCAGCCTCCCAAAGTGCTGGGATTACAGGCGTGAGCCACCATGCCCAGCCCTGAGCCACTGCGCCTAGCCTGATTTTGCCATACTTAAAAAAACAAACAAACAACTATCCTTTTTCCTCTTTTTCTTTGCTGAACTATTTTAAAGCAAATTCCATTTCACTTCTTCATACTTTATGTGCATCTCTAAAAATATATGGACATTTCCCTACTTAAATACATACCCGTCTCACACCTAATAAAATTAACATCTTGGATTCGTCTAATACCTAGTCTATCTCTGAACTTTTTCTTTTTTTTTCCTTTTTTTTTTTTTTTTTTTGAAACGGAGTTTCACTCTTGTTGCCCAAGCTGGAGTGCAGTGGTGCCATCTGGGCTCACTGCAACTTCCACCTCTCAGGTTCAAGCAATTCTTCTGCCTCAGCCTCCCGAGTAGCTGAGATTACAGGTGCACATCACCATGCCTGGCTAATTTTTTGTATTTTTAGTAGAAACGGGGTTTCACCATGTTAGGCTGGTCTCAAACTCCTGACCTCAAGTGATCTGCCCAACTCAGCCTCCCAAAGTGCTGGGATTACAGGCGTGAGTCACCGTGCCCGGCCCCAAACTTTCTAGATTGTTTTAAAATGTCTTTTAAAATTGTTTTTAGCCAGGTGCGGTGGCTCATGCCTGTAATTCCAGCATTTTGGGAGGCCACGGTGGGTAAATCACCTGAGGGTCAGGAGTTCGAGACCAGCCTGACCTACATGGTGAAACCCCGTCTCTACTGAAAATAAAAAATTAGCCGGGTGTGGTGGTACGTGCCTGTAGTCCCAGCTACTCGGGAGGCTGAGGCAGGCGAACCACTTCAACCCAGGAGGCAGAGGTTGCAGTGAGCCGAGATTGTGCCACTGCACTCCAGCCTGGGAGACAGAGTAAGACTCTCTCAAAAAAATAAAATAAAATAAATAATAAATAATAAAATTGTCTTCATCTTGATCCAAGGAAACCAAAGTTCACATATTGCATTAGGTTTTGTTTCTTGAGTCTTAATCCAGAGCAGCATTTACTCTATTTACTTGTGGGGTGGGAGCATTTACTAGTTAAGGAAACAGTTGCATGTATGTCCTACTTCTTGGATTTGTTTGTTTCCTATTAATGCGTTTAACTTGTTTCGATATAGCAGTAGTTCTCAACGGAGGACAATTTTGTCTCCCTCTCTTCCAGGGGACATTTGACAATGTCTAGAGAGATTTTTAGTCATCACAATCTAGTGAGTAGAGGCCAGGGATGTTATTAAACATCTACAATGCACAGAACAGCCCCCACCACAAATAATTTCCTGGTTTCTAATGTCAATAGTGCTGAGATTGAGAAACTGTCAGCCTATCCCATGTATTTCCTGAAGAATGGAAGTTAGCACTAAAAGCTTGGTTAGAGTCAAGATAACTCTTTTTGCTTAAAATAGTTAAATTGCCCAGGAGTGCCGGTATTCTGTTTTGATCTGGGTGTTGGTTACAAGAGTATATCATTTTGTGAAAATTTATATGTGAGCTCTACACTTTAAAAAATGTGTGTTATTTTTAATTTTAAAAGTTTACATTAAAAAAAGAAACCTCTTTATTGTGTTGGGTCCCTTCCTCTTTTTGTCTGCTACTTCACACTTCTTAAATAGTTGAATAAATCTTTAAAGCCTCACTCCCTTTTAAAGTTCCTTAATACTCTTTTTTTTTTTTTTTTCCCAATGTGAGAGACTGGTAGAGATGGGGGAAAAAATGGGTGCCTTTTGAACTCATTGTTGGGATGGTTGAGTGTCTGTTAGGGAAGTCAGAGTGCTGGTACTTTCCTTGCTCTGCAGAAAATTGCAGAGTTGCCCTAAGGGAGGGACACCTAAACGATAAGTAACGTTAGGCCACTTGGGTTTTGTGTAAAGCTGAAAGGAGAAAGTCATTCCAGATGGGATGGTTTGAAAGCAGAGGTTGGCTTTCATGAGCTGTGGAATTTGGGAAAGGGGCATTCTGGGCTGAAAGAACCAGGGAAGGTAAGGAATGCATTAGGGGTGTGCTGGGAACCTTTTCTTGAGCGATGTCTTAAAGCCAGCTTCTCTTCTCTGTCTCTGATAAATAATTGGAAGGAAAGGCAATGAATTTTTTTCTGACAGTTGGTTCTAACTGGGGGCCAGGGCCTCGTTTGCAAATGAAAGGACTGCTGTTGGAGTAGTTGAAATCACAATGGGCCCTGACTCTTTTCACATCAAAGTGTAAAAGAATCTCCAGGGGTGATAAATGGGGGCTGCTGGACTCATTACTTGTAAACAAAGCTGAGGGATGACCTCTACATTTTTTTTTAATTAAAGGAAAACAGGGTTTCCTAGTGGTGAGCATGGGGCTGCTCTTCGTTTGAATTTTGACTGTTCACACTGGAAAAGATCTTTCTTTAAGGTTACAAGGGAGCTGCCGCTGTTACCCAGGATTTACCCTGAATCTCAAACACTACTGGAAAAATGCTGTGCCTAGGACGGCCCAGCAGGTATCCTGCATGTGTTGAGAATTGAAGTGCAGTGGGTTCCGCTGCGTTGTTACAGTAAAGTGGAACAGGGCAGAATTTCTGAGTGCTGCTCCTCTCAGGAGACTGAGGGCTCCTTTACTCCTTTTCCCACCCGACATCAGGAGGAAAACTCCTTTATTCCTGTGCAGTGTAGAAAAAGGTCCGTTTTTAAGTAAATTCTTAGCTCTTTGTAAAAGAAGTCCAAAGGCAGTGGTTTTAGAGTTTAAAGATAGTATTTCTTTATATTTGTGTAGTTACAAGGCTTTGAGTATGATCAAAACGTTTAACCAAAACTAAAGTATGTGCATACTTTATGGTGTTGAAAGCAATGCTACTAAAAATAGTACAACATTTTATGGGATTAAGATTGCAAATTGCTGCCTAAATTCAGCTTGCAGTTAAGGCCTACCTTCAGTAAACTCTCGTTGTGTAGTCAGCTCCCCACCAAGCTTATCTCTTGCTGTTTTTCCACTTGGCTCCTCTGTTGCAGTCAGTCCAAGCCCTACCAGATTTTAAACAACTGGAGGTCAGAGACTGCCCTTTGTAACCTGAGTGGAACTGGTAAGGCACTGGGCACCCAAGAATTCTAATGTGTTTACTGACTTTCCACATGTTTAGTAATCACCTTCTGAGCCTATCTTCCAAGCAAGTTGTAAGACTTGAGAAAGGAGCAGAGGTCACAGCTGGCAAGGAGCACAGCATCCCTGGATGGTTGACAGAGACAAGCTATCCTCCAGATGAAATATTTCCAACTACAGATGAGAGTATTGAAGGCCTTCCATTCCCCTTTGATATCAGAATGGTGAGAATGTGGGAGACACCACCAGTTAACCCTGCCTTCATGAGTACAGATACCCATGAAAATATTTAATAAGCGCAGTGACCAGACGAGACCTGTGCTAAGTATTTGATAGGCATGCTTTCAATCTCGTAACTCCCTATGAGGTTATGTTTTACAGATGAAAAAGGGAAAAGGAAGATACTCATCAGTGGCTAGCTTCCTTCCATCACCGAACCCTCAAGTCCCTGTTCCCTTTTTGTCTTTGTAGAAGCTGGTGGCAGGGATATACTTTCTGAGCTCTGGTTTAAAACTCTGAGTTTTGGGCCACAGATCCCCTCTAGCTGACTCTTCTTTTTTGACATGAATGAGATAAAAAGTTGTTCCTGGGAGATAGTTTCAGCATGGCTACAGTAGTCAGAGAAACGTGCATCTTTTCCAGTGAAGGAACAAAGCTGATTTCTTTGCACTGGGGCATAGTGGGGGTGTGGGAAGGGGGGGCTGAGTGATGGGAATAGGGGTCACTACTGAGTCATATGGCAGGAAAAAGATGAAAAGATTAGTTACCCAAAAAAAAAAAAATTAAGGAATGGAGGTGGTTCCCATCCTAAATTAGAATCTCCCCAGTTTGCGTTTCAGAGCCCTTTTCATCGCCGTGGTGAGATGATGTGTGCTCTCTCAGAGCACTTTGTGGTCTGTTACAGCATTGCACAGATGTCAGGTGGCTGCCCTGTTAATAAATCAACCTCTCAACGGTTAGAAGTTGTAGCAGTTCTCGTTTTAGATTATCTTTCTACATCCGGCAGAGGCTTACTGTCCCCCGCAGAGCACTTGGTAAACGAGATATGAAATTGTCCTTTAAGAATGGAGGTTTAATTTTCCAGTAGGACAGAGTATTCAATAAATGAGAGTGGAGACTATATTTTATTTGTCTAAAATATATGTTTTTTAAAATGTGTTCCTCAATAGCTGGTAAAGGACAAAGCCAGGGAGTTGAGAGCAAAGGGTATGCACGAGCTGAGATAGCAGGATATTTGGAAAAGTTATTGTTTCTTTTTTTTTTTTTTTTTTTTCCTGTCTCATGTCCTCAACCTGGAGTAGTGACTCTGGTGAGTAGAACACTTCTTACAGGCTCACTGGGACCCTGCCACTAAATTTTCACCTGGAGAGGCAGCCTAATTAAGAGAGAGTTTGCTTTGAAATCAGTTAGATCTGGGTTTGAATTGTATCCCCATGAGACAGGTAATGCTGGGCAATTTTCTTAACCTCTCCAAACTCTAGTTCTTTCATTTGTAAAATAAGGATAATAATGACTAAATATATACATTTATTTAAAGCCCATGGAGTGCTTGGTACTCAATAGACATTTAATAAATATTAATTTTCTTCCCTTTCTGTTGACTTGCCTTTGATAATTTCAGCATTTAGGGTGTGGAGAATTTGAACTTCATGATGTTCATAGAACACCTGAGGTTTAAAAGTTTGGGTTCCATTGGGCAATATAGGGAAAGCAGCCTTCCCATGCTCTGAGACCCAACTCTGAAGCATTGTCTGGGACCAGCGCCTGGCACTGTATGTGAACTGTATAATCACGTGTTCCTGCCAACTGTGGGTTCAAGTGATGATGAGTCTGATTTTTGTTACTCTGGAACTTACATTATTAAGAGTTTGGGTAATTTGAAATGGTAGGTGACACTATGAATTAATTTCTCAATAAAATTCTCATTTCATATTTACTACTAAAATATTACTTTAAGATATAGTTTAGGATACACATGAAGATAAGTATAGGCCAAGCACGGTGGCTTATGCCTGTAAAACTCAGCACTTTGAGAGGCTGAGGTGGGTGGATCACTTGAGGCCAGGAGTTCGAGACCAGCCTGGGCAACATGGTGAAACATCATCTCTTCAGGAAATACAAAAATTAGCCAGGCGTGCTGGCATGCACCTGTAATCCCAGCTACTTGAGAGGCTGAGGCACGAGAATTGCTCGAACCTGGGAGGCAGAGGTTACAGTGAGCTAAGATCACACTACTGTACTCCAGCCTGGGTGACAGAGTGAGACTCCCATCTCAAAAAAAAAAAAAAAAAAAAAAAAGCATAGATAACTATGTGTAAAGAAACTAGGTATTCATTTAATAATACTTTTTATCCTTTTAGGTTAAGTAAATAGAAATCATATATTTCCTTCAGGTTAGTTTGATCTTGAATGGAAGTTCTCTGTTCTTAATCCAATATTCATTCATTCATCAAAGACTTTGTGGAGAGCCTTTGATGTCAAAAGTGTCAACTAGGAACTAGGGAGAGGGGATGGGAAGAAAAACTGGTACCATGGGGGAGGGAAGGAACTGGGATGGAGGTAGATTAGTCCACAGGGAGTTCACATTAGCGCTTGCGTTCAGGTTACTATGTGTAGGTTACTATGTGCATCTACTCTTTTTCATCCAATGCTTTAAACTTTTTAAAAAGCTTATTCCTAGTCCAGTATTGTATTTTAACCTTATAAAGATCTTATAGGGTAGGTCAGGCAGATAGTTCCATTTGAAGTTTAAAGGGGTTAAGTGGTTTGCCAATGATCTCAGGGTTAATAATGAAACTGTTTTCTCAACCTGGAATGAGTTTTCTCTCCCTTTCCCAGCTCCTCAGTCTATTGATATCTTAGTCATCCTTTAAGGTTCAGCTGAAATACCACCTTTTCTTTTCATTTCTTTTTTTTTTTTGAGACAGTGTCTCACTCTGTTGTCCAGGCTGGAGTGCAGCATTGCACAGTCACGGTTCACTACAGCCTCAATCTCCTGGGCTCAAGTGATCTTCCCACCTTGGCCTCCCAAATGCTATGATTACAGGTGTGAGTCACCATGACTAGACTGGTTTTTTTTTTTTTTTTTTTTTAGTACAATTTTTTTGTAGACCTGGGATCTCACCATGTTGCCCAAGCTAGTTCTGAACTCCTGGCCTCAAGCAGTCCTCCTGCCTCGGCCTCCCAAAGTGCTGGGATTACAGGCATGAACCACCATGCCTGGGTTGTTCTTTTGGTTTTTTTTTTTTTTGAGATGGAGTCTCGCCCCGTCACCAGGCTAGGGTGCAATGGTGTGATCTTGGCTCACTGCAATCTCTGCCTCCCAGGTTCAAGCCATTCTCCTGCCTCAGTCTCCCGAGTAGCTGGGATTGCAGGTGCGCACCACCACATCCAGCTAATTTTTTTTATTTTTAGTAGAGATGGGGTGTTGGCCAGGATGGGCTCAATCTCCTGACCTCATGATCCGCCTGCCTTGGCCTCCCAAAGTGCTGGGATTACAGGTGTGAGCCACCGCACCCAGCCGCCTGGGTTGTTCTATACATCTTTTTTTTTTTTTTTTTGAGATGGAGTTTCACTCTTGTTGCCCAGGCTGGAGTGCAATGGTGCAACCTCTGCTCACCACAACCTCCACCTCCTGGGTTCAAGCAATTCTCCTGCCTCAGCTCCTGAGTAGCTGGGGTTACAGGCATGTGCCACTATGCCCGGCTAATTTTGTATTTTTAGTAGAGACAGGGTTTCTCCACGTTGGTCAGGCTGGTCTCGAACTCCCGAGCTCAGGTGATCCACCTGCCTCAGCCTCCCAAAGTGCTGGGATTACAGGCCTGAGCCACTGCGCCCGGCTGTTATATACATCCTTCTCGTTATTCCTCTATCATAGCTTACTATTTTTAAATATTAAATTTCTGTTTGCATTATTGTATGGTTTCTCTCTCCTGATTAGACACAGACTAATAAAACATTTAGTAATTATTTTCCTCCATCTCATATATCCGTCTGAGTCGTAAACATCTTTTATACCAAAGACCTATTTAATCCTTCAGCACTATCTCTGTGTTTTGCAAATAACCAGCAATTAATAAGTGATTTGAGTTTGCCGCTATTGGAGTTATTGTTGCTGTCATAGAGAGATGGAGGAGTGCTGATGTGGAGGGTGGTTATAATGGGTATTTATTTGACCTTTCTTAGAAAAACAACCCAAAGTTCTTACTCTGTTACTAATGGGTTAACTTAGTGTTGCTGTGAAAGTCTGTAACTGTTAAGACAATTACGCATTGTTGACTCAACTGTTGAAAACTACATTTTAAGGCATCTATATAAAGTCTTCAGAATTATGTAAACAGTGATTTACTGCTACCTATTTGTCTTCATTGACCTTTTAAAAACAAATTCCTTGCACAGGCAAGCCTTAGAGCCAATGGTGCCTACAGGTTACCTGTATTTCACTTTTCGGCTAATTTGTCAATGTTTTCTCACAGCAGTGTTTTTGTCTGTTTTAACCAGGGTGTTTGGTTTGGATTAATGTTCAGTTTCTACACACACTTGCTAAGCCTCTTCTCTTATCCACCTATTAGCAAAAGGGAAGTGAAGGGTATAGCCTGTAGAGGGAATTCCCCCTCTTCATTTTGCATTCTAAGTCTATATCTAGGAAAGCATTGTAGCCAAAAAACCCAGGAGTATTGTCTGTATTTTGAAGATATTTGCTCCAAGATGGCTCACAGAAAAAAAATAATTGATAGTATCATTATTAGGCTAATGGGCATTTTTGACTCCTTAAGAGTTACTTGGCTCAGTCAGTCTGCTGGTTGAGGCTTTGGATTTGCTGATTGCAGCCCATGGGTATTTGCATACGCCTTCCCTTCTCCCAAGGCCTTTCTCCCCCATCAGTGCTTGTCATTGCTGAATTCATTGCACCCCTGTCCCTCACACCCACTCACATGACCTTCTCATACTAATGCCTTTTCACACTTGAGCAAGGTTTCTCCTTAATGAAGACAAGATGCATTAAACTTCCCAATTCAGAAAATTGGAGGGTAATGATATGTATGAAATAAAGTAGTTTCTTTTTAAGAGAACTCAGAGCTGTCATCCATTGATTCAGGGAATGAATGTGGTTTTTGGTGTGCTGTATTCTCCCCTCTTCCCCAGGGTGGTAGTTAGTTTCTTTTTTCTTTCCTTTTTTTTTTTTTTTAAGTTCTGGGATACGTGCAAGGTGGTAGTTTCTACAGTGAGATAGTGACTTGATAATCTGAGAAATATGCATCTTACCCACACACATACCCACACCCTAAATGGAGGTACTACAGTATATTTTGCACTTCAGTAAATGCTCAGCACCTACTGTGTGCAGAGTGATATATATTGAATTTTGTGTGCGGTGCTGTCAATCCTTCCTCTTCTCTGATTTCTGAGACACAATCTGGCTCCTGTGCCTTGTGATTCTGATGAGGCCCTCTCAATTTCTCACCAAACTTCCTTTTGTCTTGCTTGATAAAAGTTGGCATTCCTCAAATCTCTATCTCTGACTTGCTTTCTTTTTATACTATGGATTTTCTCTGTATAATCTTTCATAGTGACTTCACCATCCCCCAGTGGGTGATTCCAACATCTGCATTTTCAAGCCAGGAAAGCACTGTAGCTCCCCCAAAAGCAGAAATATTGTGTATATTTTGAAGATATTTGCTCCAAGATGGCTCACAGGAAAAAAAAAAAAATCATAGTATTACTAGGCTAATGGGCATTTTTGACTCCTTAAGAGTTACTTGGCTCAGTCTGCTGGTTGAGCCTTTAGGATTTGTTGATTGTAGCGTGTGGGCATCTTCCTCTACTTCTCCAGAGGTAAGCCATTATCCCCCATTCTAATTTAATCATTCCTCCTCTTCTGTTCCATAATAATTAGGAGAGACTTCCTTATATGGGGAAGTTTCCCATACATTCCTTTTGCTTCTCTAGTTAAAAACTTCCAGGGCACCATATCTCCTACACTTTAGAGTTTGATTCCCTTAGTGTGGTGTTCAAGCCCTTTATCCCCTGGGCCTCAGCTTGTTTTTCAAGTCTCATCTCCCATCACTACTGTCCTTCTACCAACCTTGGTGCCTTGCTTTATAGAAGATCTCTCAATTCCATATACAGGCTTTTGTCATTCAAGTACTGTGCCTTGGCATATACTATTCCTTCCTCCCATCCCTGCTTCATCAGTCCATCCCTTTGTCTGTCAGTGCTATCAGGGAAATACAGGGTTTTACAGGAACATGTAGGAGTAGTACCTCAGCATAGATTTGAGGACTAATCAGAGAAGACTTCTTGGAAGAGGCAGTTAGGCAGAACACTGATGTATGTTTAGAGTTGAAAAAATTGGGTGGAGGAGTGGATAAAAGAGAGATGTGTGTTCCAGATAAAGGAACCATACTTGTGAAGACTTGGGCGAAAAGAAAAAACAAAACAGAAGTAAACCGTAGGGCCCTTTTGAGGAACTGAATGAAGTTCACTGTAGCTGGAGCAGAGAGCACCAGGTCAGGAAGTGATCTGGTGAGCCATGCTAAGAAATTTGACCATGTATTTAGGGTAATGGGAAGCCATCAAACTATTTTAAATATGTTAGTGGTTTAATATGATTTTAAAAGGTCGCTTGTCAAATGGAGAATGGAGTTTAGTGGGACATGGGCAGGAGCAGAAGCAAAGCAACCCATTGTGGGGATATGAAGTAAGTAGTGCATGGGAGAGCTGAAGAGAATCCAGTGGGCTCTGGATGATTTTTTTTTTTTTGTAAACAATGAGAAAAGATAGGTAGGTTGGATGCATGAAACAGAAGACTCAAGAACAATTCTTAATCATTGGTTTTGTCACTGGGAGATGCTGAAAGATGGGAAAGACTGAGAGTGGTACAAGTTCCTTTTTGAGTAGTCCAGGTTTGAAATGCCTGTGAAAATCCTGGCAAGTGGAGATGTTAAGTGGGCAATTGGTTCTCTAAGTCTAGAGTTCATTGGGGAAGGTCTGGGCTTAAGACACAATTTATTCAGTAGAAAATGAATCACAGTTGTGCATGAGATTTCCCAACAGATGAGAGTGCTCAGGAACTTGAACTACGTAGCAACTTAGTGGGAACTAAGTAGCAGAGAAGGCTTAGTAAGGAGGTTGAGATGGAGCTGATAAAGAAGCTGACAAAACCCAGGAGAGTGCTCTCTTGGCCAAGGGAAGAGCAGGTGGGGAGAAGAGGTTCAGAACATCAAATGCTGTTAAACTGTGGATTCAGTCACCTCTTCCGTGAAACCTCCTCTCTTACCCTCAGGCAGTAATGGTCTCCCATTTCTCAAAGATACAACCTTTTATTATGGCATTTAAATTGTTTTTGTTTTTATCTTCCTTACAAGATTCTGTCATTGGACAGCTGATTATGAGCTAGCAGACACAGTAGAAATTCAATCAATTAATACATTAAATAATTTATAGAAGAATGATTATTGGCCTCTGCCACCAAGAAATGGTTATGTCTTCTTAGTGATTTGCCTGCTTTTTGTCTCCCTGGATTTAGGATGTAGTTTTGAAAATAACATTGACGTTCCTTCATAGACGTTCGTACAGTTTTCAGTATTCACAATGGCAGAAGTATGATATTTCGACTGTGCCCTATTTTTATGCTGGGCAAGGACCTCAAGAACAAAACTCCTGTGACCTTACATAGGGGTCTTACACTGAAGGAGTATGGGAAATAGCAACTCTTGTAAAAATAAGCTGGTCAGTGGGTGGTAGGTAAGCTGAGGGAAAAGATTTATGAGCAACATCCTGTTCTGGGATCACTGCTGGGGACGGAAGAGGGGGAGAAACTGCTATATAAATCACGAAGGCAGCTCAGGAAATAAAGTCTGCCATTGGAGGGTCTCAGGGGGACCCTTCTTGGATATCTTTTGCATAACACATGGGTGAAGGAGAATCAACAGGTGTCACTTTTCTCAGCCCATGTGGGGGGTTGGTGCTGGGTTGGGATAATTCATCTTTCATAAGGGAAAAAAGGAGCAGAAGATGACAGAGTGAGATGGCACAGTGGGCCCCAGAGTCATCTCTAGTTTTGTAATTGCTTGCTGGATTGTGAAGAAAAAAGGAGAGAGAAGGGGCCATTTTGTAGGAGCAGAAGATTGTGTTCATTGGTCTTAGGTCTCACGTGGTAGCCTCTCCACGGAGCGCCTCCTTGTTCCTTCAGGAATCTGCATCAGCTTCTGCTCAGTTCAGGATGTGTAGGTGACATCCTGTCTTGACCAGAGGGTGCATTTGGCTTGAGACTTTTTTTCTTTTCAAATGAAAGACAGTTGAGTCCAGGCGTGGTGGCTCACGCCTGTAATCCCAGCACTTTGGGAGGCTGAGGCAGGCGGATCATGAGGTCAGGAGATCAAGACCCATCCTGGCTAACATGGTGAAACCTTGTCTCTACTAAAAACACAAAAAATTAGCTTGGCGTGGTGGCACGTGCCTGTAGTCCCAGCTACTCAGGAGGCTGAGGCAGGAGAATTGCTTGAACCCAGGAGGCAGAGGTTGCAGTGAGCTGAGATTGTGCCACTGCACTCCAGCCTGGGCAACAGAGCGAGCTTCCATCTCAAAAACAGAACAAAACAAAAAACAGTTGAATCGGTTTATCAATAGGGGATTAGATTCTATGTTATGATGTACCTACAAAATAGAAATGAAATAGTTGTTAAAAAAAAAAAGGGTAAGATAGGCCCGGCGTGGTGGCTCACGCCTGTAATCCCAGCACTTAGGGAGGCCGAGGCAGGCGGATCACGAGGTCGGGAGATCGAGACCATCCTGGCTAACACGGTGAAACCCCGTCTCTACTAACAATACAAAAAATGAGCTGGGCGCCGGGGCGGGTGCCTATAGTCCCAGCTACTCGGGAGGCTGAGGCGGAAGAATGGCGTGAACCCGGGAGGCGGAGCTTGCAGTGAGCCGAGATAGCACCACTGCACTCTGGCCTGGGCGGAAGAGCGAGACTCCGTCTCAAAAAAAAAAAAAAAAAAGGTAAGATAGTTTATATGTGCATCAAGATTGCATGATATAGTATACAAATTACAGAACAGAATCAAAGATATCTTATTTTTGTGGGTAGGAAGCTAGAGCTATATCTACCTAGATAAACACATTCATAGAACAGGTCTGAAAGGGGGTGCACCAACTCCAGCAACATGAATCTTTTGGGGGAATATAATTATTTAGTTTTTTTAATGTTATAACTTTTAAAAAATTATACGTGGAAGGGTAATATTTGTTGTTTGTTCTTTTCCCATAATGTGCATATATCAATTTTATAGTTTAAGATATTAAAGTGGGCCAGGCATAGTGGCTCACACTTGTAATCCCAGCACTTTGGGAAGCCAAGGCAGCAGGATTGCTTGAGGTGAAGAGTTCCAGACCAGCGTGGGTAACATGGCAAGGCAAGACCTCGTCTCTACAACAACAACAACAAAGATACTAAAGTGGAAACACTTCCTAGAATGTTATTTGAAAAAATGAAGGAATGAGTCCCCATCCTGCTACCTCCTTAAGAAGATAAAAATGTTGCTCCTTTACTTAAGGGTACATATTTTTATTTTTAGTTAAAAATATTTGGAGCGCTTGTTGCATTCTAGGTATTGTTCTATGTAGGGAGGATGCAGTAGCAAAACAAGACAAAGGAGATCCTGCTTTCCTGGAGTTTCCATCCTAGTGTGTATGGGTAAACATGTATTATAGATGAAAAATAAACATGAATCATATCAGGGTTATAAAGCAGGTTTGGTGAGGGTAAAGAGTGTCAGCTGGATGAAGGAAAGGTGTTCTGTTTTATATCTAGTCATCAGGAAAGGTGCTGCTGCTAAGGTTATGTTCGAGCAGAGACCTGAGGAAGTTTGCCAGATAGAACTGGAGCTGGGGGTGGAGGGAACTTTGCAGGCGAGGGGGAGCTTGTGCATAGGCCCTGAGGCAGTGTGTGCTTTGTATTTTTGTGGAACAGCAAGGTAGCCAGTGAGGCTGGAGCAGAATGTTGAGGAGGGTGTTTGGGATGAGGTTTGGGAGCTGGCAGGAGGCCAGATTGTGGAGGGCCTTGTCGGCCGTTGGAAAGTTGTTGGAGTGAGAGAGAAAGCCATTTGAGGGTTCCATCAGAGGAGTAGCACTCTTCAAATGCCCTTTAACAGGATCACTTGGGAAGCTTTGTGGGGTTTACACTGCGGTGAGCATGGGAAAAGCACATTAGGGGAAACTATCCTTGCAGTGGATGGGGATTATCTTTCCCTCCCATTTCACTAATGGAGAAAGTCAAATGTTTGGCACAGGAACATAAAACACTGTAAGCAGGGACCAGGTCCTGAGTTTTCCCAGTGGCAACTTCGGTGCTCTGTTTTTCAGAGGAAGCTATCTGGGAATTTCCGTTTCCTAGCATGCATTATAACATGTTATTTTTAATAGCTAGGTCTCTGATCAGTTATTGTGACTGATCTCAGTCTTCTTGCATGAAGATGATGCCTCTGATTTATGATATTTTCTAGAATTCTGAGTCAGTATGAGTTAGTGTCACTTCTTCCATAACAAGGTGGGAATGCACCCATACATTTGGTCCTTGTGTTGCTAGCAGATATGAATTAAGCAGTAGTTTAGCTTACCTTGGAACCAGCTGTTCCTTGCAGATGCACTGATATTAAGGGTACACATGTCTATTATAAGGCTGGTAAATTAGAGTTTGCTTTATCAGAAGCTTATCAAAGGTCTGCTGTGTGCAAAGCACTATGCTGCATTCTTTTAGAGCTATTAGATAAATAGCAATACTCTATCTTTAAGGAGCTTACAGTCTATTGGACACTATGGGCAAAAACACTAATGTTAGAGTTGCAAGATGATGTGGAAGTACAAAGGAGGTAGAGATGAATTATGAGTGGACAGTATGGGAAAGCCTTCCTGAATGAGACAGCAGGTATTTCAACTGGGTGTTAAAGTTTGAAGGGGCGCTGGGTAGGTTGGCTTATGCCTATTATCCCAGCACTTGGGGAGGCTAAGACTGGAGGATCACTTGAGCCCAGGAATTTGAGACCAGCCTGGGCAACAAAGTGAGACTCCATCTCTACAAAAACTTCAAAAGATTAGTCGGGAATAGTGGCACATGCCTGTAGACTCAGCTACATGGGAGGTTGAAGTGGGAGAATCACTTGAGCCCAGGAGGTCGAGGCTCCTGTGAGCTGTGATTGCATGGCACTCTAACCTGGGCAGAGCCAGAGCTTGTCTCAAAAAAAAAAAAAAAAAAAAAAAAAAAAAGTTTGAAGAGCAGAAAAGCAGGCATTTTATGCTTAAGGGAGAGCCAGAGAAGTGACATGGAAGGAAAATGGGTCTGTTACATTTTCTTCCATTACCAGAATGGTCTGTTATAGCTGAGGTTAAAGTATTTTTAAGAGAAAAGAAAGAGGAAGGCAGTGGGAAAAGTAGATGGAACCATTCCATCTAAGCCTGAACTGTCTACTATGGTAGTCATTGGCCATATGTGACTTCTGAGCACTTGAAATGTGGCTGGTTAGAGTAGAGATGTCATGGTATAATACAGATTTCAAAGACTGGGAAAAAAATGTGAAATATCTCAACAACTTTAATTACAAGTTAAAATGAAGACAGTTTTGGGTTATAAATTTAATATTATATTTATTTTAATTTATCTTGAGACAGAGCCTCACTGTATTGCCCAGGCTGGAGTGCTATGGTGTGATCTCAGGTCACTGTAACCTCCATCTCCTGGGTTCAAGTGATTCTCTTGCCTCAGCCTCTCAAGTAGCCAGGATTACAGGCGTGCACCACTACACCCAGCTAATTTTTTTGAATTTTTAGTAGAGACAGGGTTTTGCTATGTTGGCCAGGCTGGTCTCAAACTCCTGGCCTCAAGTGATCTGCCCATATCTACCTCCCAAAGTGCTGGGATTACAGGCCTGAGCTAGCACACCTGGCCTAATATTATTTAGATTTATTCCACTGCTTTCGTTTTTTACCTTTTTAATGTGGCTACTTGCAAATTTAAAAGTGCATTAGTAACCCCCATTATATTTCTGTTGGTTATAGCTGATCTAGGTTAGGGCTAGTAGCCCTAGAAGAGGGATTGAAAGCAGGGTGAACAAGAAAAGGAAAGGGAGAGAAGAAACTGAAAAAGGACAATCTCTGGGATTTGTAAGAGTTTGTGTGTGTGGGGAGGGGGTCAAAGATACTGCTTGTGGCTTCTGACCTTGGTGTTGCAATCAACTTGGAGTGCACTGCTGCACGGAGGCAGTGAAGGGTGGGGGAAGATTATTTCACTTGGGGCCTGTTGATCCCAGGCTGTGCTGTAGGGAGGTTCCTTTGGCAGCCAACTGTGGAGTGGATTAGCATTGGCAGAGCTGGAGGTGGAGAGACCAGTTTGGTTGGATCCCATGCCCGTTAACACCTGGGTGCTGCAGCCTTTTGTATAAGGGGGCAGGATGAGGGTGAGGTTTCGGTGTGGTGTACTATAGACATAATCTGCAGAATTGCTTGGTAGTTTATGCTGAATTTTACATTGGGCTTCTCAATTCTGCCTCAGTTGGTCTCTTAATTTTTTTCCCCCTTAAATTACTACACCCCTTACGGTAGAGAAAAAAGGAAGTATGTAGGTTATGGTATGGCCAAAATTTTTTAATGTATTGAATTTGGACTGGTGTAGCAACTTGTCTTTTTCCTTATTTATTTCTGGAAGCAGATTGATTTGGTAAAGAGAAAGGAAGTATCCAAATAACAGGTCTGCTGATTTCTTACCTAGACTCAGCAAATGTTTATTATGAGGACCTGCCTTTTCCAGAGTTAACGTTTTCTTTCTTTTCTTTTCTTTTTTCCTTTCTCTTTTCTCTTTTCCTTTCTTTTTTTTCTTTTCTTCCTTTCTTCCTTTCCTTTTTCCTTTCCCTTTTCCTTTCCCTTTTCCTTCATGCCACAGATACTTATTGAAGATCTGCTGTCAGATGATGCCTTAAAATCTGATAGATCAAAGATGACCTATGGGAGAGAATACGAGAATAGAAAAATGGGAGTCCCTGTTCTGTTTAACCTGGCAGATAAGCACACAGCCAGATTGTGAAACAATGTGATAAACGCTCTAGCAGAAGAGCAAATAAAGTGTTAAAGGATCATAGAAAACAGCAAAGTGTCACGGATGAAATCTTTCTAATGAGAACCCTGGTAATTCTTTTTCTTTTGGGGCCCTTTGGGTCATGCCATCTTACTTGGAGCAGTGCTATGGCAGAATTCAACTTATTTATTTATTTATTTTTGAGATGGTGCTTTCGCTTCTGTTGCCCAGGCTGGAGTGCAGTGGTGTGATCTTGGCTCACTGCAACCTCTGCCTCCCAGCTTCAAGTGATTCTCCTGCCTCAGCCTCCCAAGTGGCTGGAGTTACAGGCACATGCCACCACGCCGGGCTAATTTTTTTGTATTTTTAGTAGAGACGGGGTTTTACCATGTTGGCCAGATTGGACTCTAACTCCTGACCTCAGGATGCGCCTGCCTCGGTCTCCCAAAGTGCTGGGATTATACAGTCTTGAGCCAACATGCCCTGCCCAACTCATTTATTTAAATTTTATCCTTCTTAAACTTTTTAGTTTGTTTAAATGCAGGGATTTATATTAAATATATTCTCCTTCTGTGGCTGTTCTGCCATTGTAACTGGTTGCTATGAAGCTGCTGTTTTTCCAAGATTTGAAGTGCAGATGAAGGTATTAGACAGGAAATGCCATCCAAAATTGCTAACTTCTGATTTCCTGAAAGGATGGTATTTTTTCTAATTAGCAATAGTCATGTAAAATATTTTAAAGGCCAGTGTTGTGAAATCACAGGAAAACATTTCATACATAAAGAGCTGTACACGGTGTTTTGCTCACGTTAAGTTAAATTCAGAAAAGAGCTTTGGTGACTAAAACGGGCGTCGTAATACAAAAACCAAGTTGTCGGTTTGTGGTGAAGGTATTTTGCCATCGTTTCTGGTTTCAAATTCTAGGCTTTTTCCTTACCCTCTTTCATCTTATGAGTGATATTCTCCAGCTAACTGTTGCCTCTTCCATCCCCCTGTGTCCGTGCTATAAAGATTTTTGTAAAACCATGACTGCTTGAAAAACTCCCTAATAGATCATTATGCTCCCTAAAGAAAACTATTGCAAGTCTCTTTGCAACCCAATACGCACTTATCTCTTTAGTGCTTTTCCTACTTCTCTCTTGTGCACCCTATAATACAACCTCAGTTTTTGCTCCTTTCCCCCAAAAGCCATGTTTTCCCATTCCTCTGTGTTTCTGACCATATTGGTCCCTTCCGACACTACTTTGTTTTTTTAGGGAAATCCTATTTATCCCACCTTAACCTCTTTTTTTGTTTGTTTTGTTTTTGAGATAGCGTCTCACTCTGTTACCCAGGCTGGAGTGCAGTGGTGCAGTCTCTACCCACTGCAGCCTTGACCTCCTGGGCTCAAGCCATACTCCCACCTCCACCTCCCAAGTAGCTGGGACTACAGGTGCACACCACCACACATAGCTAATTTTTATATTTCTTGTTGAGATGAGGTTTCACAACATTGCCCAGGCTGGTCTCGAACTCCTGGTCTCAAGTGATCCTCCTGCCTCGGCCTCCCAAAGTGCTGGGATTACAGGTGTGAGCCACTGTGCTCAGTCTTCCACCTTAATCTTTATTTGGTTTCAGTCCAACAAATAGTTATTGAGGTTTTCCCACATGCTGTGTGTTGAGGATACAAAACTCATTAAGACAGCCTTTTTTTTCTCCCCCCAAGGAACTAATACAAGGATGCAGGTATATAAACACTTAATACTACCTCCTTATCAGAGTTAGGTGTTGAAAATACAGTGACAAATAAAACACAGTTATTCTTTTGCCCCCATAAGGTGTATGTTGTATTGGGGGAGACAGAAGTCAAATATTTAAAATTGACCTATGAGAAGTACTGTGAAGGGGGAAAAGCCCCTTTGATCTGAGAAAACAAGTGACTTGAGAGGGCATGAAGATCAATTTTAGATAAAGAGGAGGGTCAGGATTGGCCTCTTTGAGGAGGTGACATTTTAAAAAAGACATTTAAACAAGTAATTACGGTATCATATAATAATTATTATAGGGTGAGTATAGCAGGCCTACGAGAAGAAGTGTAAATGTAAATGAATGGTTATAATACAGTGTGTTAAGTTCAATGATGGAGGGATGTAACAAGGAAGGGAACTTCTGTAGTGGGAGGGGCACACAGAGTTTTTATTGCCCTGCAGTGGAAGGATGTGGGGAGGGTTGGCTGTAGGGCTTTCCATGCAGAAGCACAGAGGTTTAAAACAATTTGGGTTGTGTTCACAGTATTTAACACATCTATACTCACATTCTGGTATTATTACTGGCATTTTGCATTGCAAGGAGCCCAGAGGCAGGTAAGGAGGCAGAGAGGTGGGTGGTGTAGAAAGGCGCTCCGCATTATGGAATCAACCATGGAATCAACCTAGGTGCCAGTGGTAGACTAGATAAAGAAAATGTGGTACATATACACCATGTCATATCACGCACCCATGAAAAAGAATGAGATCATGTCCTTTGCATCAATGTGCATGGAGCTGGAGGTCATTATCCTAAGCAAACTAACTCAGAAACAGAAAACCGAATACCACATGTTCTCACAAGCGGAAGCTAAATATCAAGTACATATGGACAGAAAGAAGGGAACAACAGACCCCAGGGCCCTACCAGAGGATGGAGGGGGAGGATTGAAAAATGACCTAACATGTACTATGCTTATTACCTGGGTGACGAAATAATCTGTGCACCAAGCTCCCACAACATGCAATTTACCTGTATAACAAACTTGCATGTGTACCCCTGAACCTAAAGTAAAAGTTAAGAAAAAGAAATGGGCTCTGGAGCCAGAACTGGGTGCCTACCTCGGTGTCTCACATGCCCATACCTGATGTCTAGGGCAAGGTTTGTAACTCTTTGTGCCTCAGTTTCCTCATCTGTAACACTGAAATGATGATAGCACCTACCTTGTCAGGTTATTGTAGTGATTAAGTAACTTAATACTTAGGAAATTCTTGGAACAATGTCTGGCACACAGCAAGTGCCCAATAAATGCAGGTGATGGTGCCTGTGGGCATTTTATTGCATGGAAATAATCTTTGACCTGTTGGAAATCCATGAAGGCCTATTTGCAGTGGAATAACTTGATCATGTTTCTGTTTTTCAAATACAGTAAGTAGTCCCCCCATATGAGACAGATACATTCTAAGACCCCCAGTGAGTCCTGAAGTCACAGATAGTACTGCACCCTATACACTATATAGTATGTATTTTCAATCTCATAACTGAAACAGCTACTGAGTGACTTACAGGTGAGTAGTATCTGTAGTGTAGATATACTGGACAAAGGGATGATTCACGTCCCAGGTGGGACGGAGAGGACAGCGAGAAATTTCATCACACTACTTAGAATTGTGTGCAATTTAAAACTTATGAATTGCTTATTTGTGGAATTTTCCATTTAATATTTTTAGACCTTGGATGACTGTGGGTAACTGAAACCATGGAAAGTGAAACTGCAGATAAGGGGGGCTTCTGTATTGTTTTAGAGGGAGTGTGAGCATGTGTGTTAGGAGGGGGCTGGAATTGCATTTCTGTGGATTCTCCAACCTCACCTTTTTCCCTCACCCCCTGCATAATTACCTGTTCCTTCACCTGTGTTCCCATGGTGTCTTATCTCTGCTGTGGCGTTTTCCTATTGTATTTTATAGTCTGTGTTTCTCATACTAGACTGGGTCCCCTCAGGGTGTTAAGGACTATGTGTTACTCATCTTTACATCCCATTGCCAAGAATAGTACCTAACACTGGCACATACTGGGCACTCAATAAATGTTTGTTGAATTGCTTTGAAAGGTTTACCAGGGAGTTGCCCTAACATAATTCTGGAGAAAGGTCCTCCCATAGAAGAGTCTGGGCACGTTGCTATGGGAGAGTGTTTTCTTTGTTTCACACACCAAGTATTTATCGAGTGCCTACTGCACACTGTGCTGTGAGGGGATACATAGATGAGTCAGACGTGTACTCTGCCCTGGGTTGTGTTGACTTAATCGTGGGTGGAAGGAAGATGGTAAATGGTTGCTGATAGGTTTAATGAGAAATAAGCTATGATGTGGTTTAGTTGTATTTGGGCTTTTGTTTAGAAGCATAATTATTTCAATCAAAGAATGTTAGAATTTTTTTAAAATGATGTCTCATTGATGGTAGCTTACTTCTCTTACTTCTCATTACATTCACTTTTTTTTTTTTTTTTTTTTTTTTGAGATGGAGTCTCGCTCTGTCAGCTAGGCTGGAGTGCAGTGGCACAACCTCGGCTCACTGCAACCTCCACCTCCTGGGTTCAAGCGATTCTCCTGCCTCAGCCTCCCGAAGAGCTGGGACTACAGACGCGTGCCACCATGCCCAGCTGATTTTTGTATTTTTAGTAGAGACGGGGTTTCACCATATTGGTCAGGCTGGTCTTGAACTCCTGACTTCATGATCCACCCACCTCGGCCTCCCAAAGTGCTGGGATTATAGGTGTGAGCCACCATGCCCGGCCTACATTCACTTTTATATTATGATAGAATCTGTCTAGTAAATTTCATAGTGTAGTTTCTTTTTAAATTTTTATTCTTTTGGAGACAGGGTCTTGCTCTGTTGCCCAAGCTGGAGTGCAGTGGTGCAACCAATATAATATAAAGTTTCATAGTGAGCCTGCTTGTTTCTTGGATTTTAATCCTGAGTAGAAATGATTCCACTTAAGGTGGGATATATCCTTGTCTGTAGCCAGAAGACCTTCATGAGCTCTTGCTACCTTTTCTTGGATTTACTTTGTAATCAGTGTTGCGTATTATGTTTTACTGGAGGTGCCTAGTTACAAGGTTTTATTACAGCAGTATTTCTAAACATTTGGTTAGTCTGTCTCTGCTTTTCCCACCATAATTTTCTAGCACTTGTAGCTCACCTTATCTCCCACTTCCCTTTTTAAATAGAAAACAGGCTTGTTCTGTTTTGACCAGGTATAACTCTTTGCTCAGACTGTCTCTAAAGCCCAGAAAACTATTCCTCTAGTGGTCCAATGAAGTGTTCCCCATTGAAAGTTTGCCTCATGTACTCTCAACTCCAGTGGTCTTCAAACCACTGGAATCACTGAATACCGTCTCCTTTGCCTCTGCCTCTCTTTTTATTTTTTTGAGACAGAATCTTGCTCTGTCGCCCAGGCTGGAGTGCAGTGGCGTGATCTCGACTCACTGCAACCTCCGCCTCTTGAGTTCAAGTCATTCTCCTGCCTCAGCCTCCCGAGTAGCTGGGATTACAGGCATGTGCCACGAAGCCCGGCTGAATTTTGTAATTTTAGTAGAGACGGGGTTTTGCCATGTTCACCAGGCTGGTCTCGAACTCCTTGACCTCAGGTGATCCTCCCGCCTCGGCCTCCCAAAGTGCTGGGATTACAGGGATGAGCCACTGCCCAGCCTGCCCCTGCTTCTCTTAACACACTGGGAAGCTCCTGCTGTAGCAAAATCCTCAATAAATAGGTGTTGATTAGATGAACTGATACGAATAAAACCTATGTGGGGGTGGGAGAGTTTTTAAATTACTCAGATTTTTAAGGAGGATTTCAATAGTCCTTTTTATCTTTGTGAAAATTTTATTTGAAAGTTCTTATTTTAAAATATCAAACCTGTCAGAACAGCTACACTTTTAAATGCTCCTTTAATATGAAAAGATACTCAGTCATGCATAAAAAGAGAGATGCAAATGAAAACTACATTTAGCTATCATATCTTGTCTATCGGAGTGGCAAAAAATAAAGTTTGACAACATGTCTTATTGAAAAGGTTGTAGGGGGAAGATACTGTGCTTACATACATAGCTGGTGGGAACGCAAAATACTATGACTGTATTAGGAGAATTTGACAATATGTAGCAAAATAACATTTGCATTTACCCTTTGGTCAGCCAGGCTCACTTCTAGAAATCTATCTCCCTAGGAATCTAACTCTTTTGAGACAGAGTCTCACTCTGTTGCCCAGGCTGGAGTGCAGTGACGTGGCCTCAGCTCACTGCAACCTCTGCCTCCTGGGTTCAAGTGATTCTCCTGCCTCAGCCTGCCGAGTAGGTGGGACTACAGGCATGTGCCACCACACCCGGCTAATTCTTGTGTTTTTAGTAGAGATGGGGTTTTACCATGTTGGCCAGACTGGTCTTGAACTCCTGGCCTCCAGTGATCCACCTGCCTCTGCCTCCTAAAGTGCTGGGATTACAGGTGTGAGCCACTGCACCTGGCCCCTAGGAATCTAACTCTAAGATACACTGGCAAAATATGAAAAAAATGTCCAGAAGTCTATTCATTACAAACTATATGTAATAGCAAAAGAGTGGAAAAATCTAAATATCAATAAAGAGTTGGCTTAAAAAACCCAGCTGGGCATGGCGGTACATGCCTTGTAATCCCAATTACTTGGGAGTCTAAGGTGGTAGTATAGTTTGAGGCCGCAGTGTGCTGTGATTATGCCAGATGGATAGCCACTGCATTCCAGCCTGGGCATTGTAGTGAGACCCCATCTCTAAGAAAATAAAAAAGGAAACCCATTTGGGATTTCAACACACTAGAGTATTAATATACCTGTAAAAGGAAATGGACTATTTTCTACTGTTGCATAATCTCTAAGAGATATTATTTTTTAAAGTAAGGTATAGGACAACATGTACAATAATGCTACCTTTAGTAAGGGTAGAAAAAAATGAAAATGTGCATTCATTTGCTTATATTAAAAGAATAACGAATAGAAAGCAAACTTAAAAACTGATTGAAGAGAACAGATGGAGGAGAGAACGATAGAAGCTAGACTTTCCTGAATGTACCTTGCTTTGTGGCTTACTTTGGAACTATTAAATGTGATATATAATTATGAAATAACATTTTAAAAAGTTGAGGGAGGAACTTATCCTTTAAAAGTTGAAAGTAATGGCCAGGTGTGGTGGCTCACGCCTATAATCCCAGCACTTTGCGAGGCTTGAGGCACCCCCCCCCTCCACCAAAAAAAAGGAAAGTAACAATGAACAAATGAACTTAACAGTGTTTTGTTTGTTTGTTTGTTTTGTTTTGAGACGGGGTCTCGCTCTGTCGCCCAGGCTGGAGTGCAGTGGCACAATCTCGGCTCACTGCAAGCTCTGCCTGCCAGGTTCACGCCACTCTCCTGCCTCAGCCTCCTGAGTAGCTGGGACCACAGGTGCCCACCACCAAGCACGGCTAATTTTTTGTGTTTTTAGTAGAGACAGGGCTTCACCATGTTAGCCAGGATGGTCTCGATCTCCTGACCTCGTGATCTGCCTGCCTCAGCCTCCCAAACTTAACAGTTTTTTAAGTTGATTATGTAGGAATTGTAGGCAGGCCTTGCTTTGTATAGTTCTGATATGCACAAATTTCAGTTATTATGGTTTATTTATTTTCTTTATTTTTGAGATGGAGTCTCACTCTGTTGCTCAGGCTGGAGTGCAGTGGTGTGATCGCGGCTCACTGTGATCTCCACTTCCCAGGTTCAAGCAATTCTCCTGCCTCAGCCTCTGGAGTAGCCTGCGATTCCAGGCACCCACCACCATGCCCAGCTAATTTTTGTATTTTTAGTAGAGATGAGATTTCACCATGTTGACCAGGCTGGTCTCAAACTCCTGGCCTCAAGGGATCCACCTGTCTCGATCTCCCCAAAGTGCTGGGATTACAGGTATGAGCCAGGACCCCTGGCCTAGTTACTATGTTTTAAATAGCTCCAGCCCCCAACACGGTGGTTCAGATTTCAGTTAGGACAGTTTATTAACTGTGCAATTTCATAAAGCACAAAGTTTGCTTCTAGCTTGTTATACCACAAATCACTTTATAAATAACAGACGTGCATCACGATCTCTAACCAGTCATTCTCTTCCTCTTAAAGCCTGTTGGTGACTGGTCACTAACATCTGCTCTTCAGTTTATACACAGACAGCAAGGCGTGTAGTTGTGTTGCCTGTCTCCCAGTAATAAACCCATGTGATATTTTACATAAATGGATCACCAAAAGAGGAAATTCGCCAACAGAGATCAAAGCACGGGAAATAAATGAGAAGTGACAGCACTGAAGTGAGATTCTGCAGAATGTTAATGAAGTTACAGAAGAAATAGCTGACTGTGGGAATGTGCAGTGAAGAAATTTACTGAAAGTCAACTTACTGATATAAATGAGGAAAGTCATTGTGAGGAAAAGGATGAAGATGTCCCAGAGGAAGTGGTGCCTCACAAACACTTTGTATTAGAGAAACTTGCAGAGAGATTTTACCACATTGAAGGAGCAAAGGATTCAATGTTGGAAGTTGATCCATACTTAGCAGGGAGTACAACAGTTTGCTAAGGCAAAGAAAAGATGTTCACATTGTGTCAGAAATTATATGACAAGAAGAAGGCAAGCGCTGTTCAAAGAAAAAAAATTGGCTTTTTTTTTTTTTTTTTTTTTTTTTTTTTACAAAGTGCTGTAGTCTGTTTGTATCCCCCTCCCAAATTTATATGTTGAAATTCTAACCCCCAGAGTGACAGTATTCAGAGGTGGAGCCTTTGATGGTGATTAGGTCATGAGGGTGGAACCTTCATGAATGGGATTAGTGCCCTTATAAAAGAACTTGGGCTGGGCGTGGTGGCTCATGCACTTTGGAAGGCTAAGGCAGACAGATCACCTGAGGTCAAGAGTTTGAGCCCAGCCTGGCCAACATGGCAAAACCCTGTCTCTACTAAAAATACAAAAAAAATTATTCAGGCGTGGTGGCAGGTCTCTGTAATCCCAGCTCCTCTGGAGGCTGAGGCAGGAGAATCGCTTGAACCCAGGAGGCGGAGGTTGTGGTGAGCCGAGATCGTGCCACTGCACTCCAGTCTGGGCGACAGAGTAAGACTCTGTCTCCAAAAAAAAAAAAAAAAAAAAAAAAAAAGGAAGCTTGTTTGCCCCTTCCACTGTGTGAGGGCACAGGTAGAAGACGCCTTCTTTTAACCAGGAAGTGAGCCTTTACCAGACACTGAATCTGCTTGTGCCTTGCTCTTGGACTTCCCAGCTCCAGAACTGTGAGAAATAAATTTCTGTTGTTTATAAGCAAGCCAGTTTTTAGTGTTTTGTTTTATAAGCCTGAGTTAGACTAAGACACAAAGAAATAGAATACTTTGTCAGGCCAGGCACAGTGGGCTCAAGCTTGTAATCCCAGCACTTTAGGAGACCAAGGCTGGCAGATCACTTGAAGTCAGGAGTTTAAGACCAGCCTGGCCAACATGATGAAACCCTCTCTCTACTAAAAATACTAAAACTAAGGCTGGGCACAGCGGTTCACTCCTGTAATCCCAGCATTTTGGGAGGCCAAGGTGGGAGAATCACCTGAGGTCGGAGTTTGAGACCAGCCTGACCAACATGGAGAAACCTCGTCTCTACTAAAAATATAAAATCAGCCGGGCATGGTGGCACATGCCTGTAGTCGCAGCTACTCAGGAGGCTGAGGCAGGAGAATCACTTGAACCCAGGAGGAGGCAGAGGTTGCAGTGTGCCGAGATCACGCCATTGCACTCCATCCTGGGCAACAAGAGCGAGACTGTGTCTCAAAAAATAAAAAAATTAAAAAATAAAAATACTAAAAATATAAAAAATTAGCTGGGCATGGTGGTGCACGTCTTTAATCTCAGCTACTGAGAATTGCATGAACCCCGGAGGTGGAGGTTGCATTGATCCGAGATGGCGCCTCTGCACTCTAGCCTGGGTGACAGAGCAAGACTCTGTCTCAAATGAAAAACCAAAAAAAAAAACAAAAAACAAATAAAATACTTTGTCGCCAGGCGCAGTGGCTCACGCTTGTAATCCCAGCACTTTGGGAGGCCGAGGCAGGTGGATCACGAGGTCAAGAGATCGAGACCATCCTGGCCAACACGGTGAAACCCCGTCTCTACTAAAAATACAAAAAATTAGCCAGGCGTGATGGTGGGTGCCTATAGTCCCAGCTACTCGGGAGGCTGAGGCAGGAGAATGGTGTGAACCCGGGAGGTGGAGCTTGCAGTGAGCTGAGATGGCGCCACTGCACTCCAGCCTGGGTGACAGAGCGAGACTCCATCTCAAAAAAAAAGAAAAAGAAAAAAGAAATGCTTTGCCAATGTATCTAGTGTTTTAAATCATAGCCTACTAAATATTACTTTTTTCATTTCTTTATAAATGTGTAAGTGACAGAATTATTAGCATTTTGACAGAAATTTGTAAATGCTGTGGACAATCGTAATTTTTCCTGTTGATGATTAAGGTTGTTTGGCACAGTTTCGGCTTTCATAGTCGTTTCTATGGTCCTGCACTATTTTTCAAAGTGAGAACTGTATTTCAAGTGACCCTTTTTTTTTTCCAAGTGACATTTTTTTTTCTTTTTTTTTTTTTTGTGACTGAGTCTTGCTCTGTTGCCCAGGCTGAGGTGCAGTGGTGCAATCTCAGCTCACGCAACTTCTGTCTCCTGGATTCAAGCAATTCTGCTTCAGCCTCCCGAGTAGCTGAGACTAGGCGCACGTCACCATGTGCAGCTAATTTCTTTTGTGTTTTAGTAGAGACAGGGTTTCACCGTGTTGCCCAGGCTAGTCTCGAACTCTGAGCTCAGGCAGTCCGCCCGCCTCGGCCTCCCAAAGTGCTAGGATTACAGGCATGAGCCACTGTGCCTGGCCAAGATACATCTTAAGGATGAAAAAGAAAGAAAGCTGGATACAGTGGTTTAAGCTTGTTATCCCAGCACTTTGGGAGGCTGAGGTGGGAGGATTGCTTGTGTCCAGGAGTTTGACATCAGCCTGCGAAGCATAGCAATATCTTGTCTATATAAAAAATTTTAAAAAGTAGCTGGGCATATAGTCCCGCTACTTGGGATTCTGAGGCAGGAGGATTGCTTGAGCCCAGGAGGCTGAGGCTGCAGTGAGCTGTGATGATGCCACTGCATTCCAGCCTGGCAGCAGAATGAGACTCCATCTAAAAAAATAAAAATAAAAAAGACAAATCTTAAAGTGTTCTCAGCAAACATGTTTAGTAATGGTATTGGTATTATTATTGTACTTGTTAAGAAACAAATAGAGAAAAGAGATACAAACAAAATCAAACAGTTTAAAACACTGTAATCCTAAATTTAATAGAAAAGGGAAACTAACATGTTTTATAAATACAAATATTAATAGTAATATAATATATATAATTATGCATAATATATAAAAATATAATATATATAATATGTATTACTATATATATATATATATATATATATATATATATAAAATTATATTTTAGGCCGGGCAGAGGGGCTCACGCCTGTAATCCCAGCACTTTGGGAGGCCGAGGTGGGTGGATCACCTGAGGTCAGGAGTTTGAGACCAGCCTGGCCAACATGGCAAAACCCTGTCTCTACTAAAAATACAAAAATTAGCTGGGTGTGGTGGTGGGCGCCTGTAATCTCAGCTACTCAGGAGCCTGAGACAGGAGAATTGCTGGAACCTGGGAGGCAGAAGTTGCAGTGAGCCAAGATCATTGCACTCCAGCCCGGGCCGACAACAGCGAGACACTGTCTCAAAAAAAAAAAAAAAAAATGTAGCTCGGCGTGGTGGCAGGTGCCTGTAATCTCAGCTCCTCGGGAGGCTGAGGCAGGAGAATCGCTTGAACCCTTGAAGCGGAGGTTGCAGTGAGCCAAGATCACACCATTGCACTCCAGCCTGTGCGAAAAGAGCAAAACTCCATCTTAGTAAATAAATAAACAAAAATTAAAATGATACTAAATAGCAAAATCCAGTAGTTACTTTTGGAAAATGGCAGGGAACTAACTCATAATTAAAAAAATAATAATAAAAGAATCAAGCATTTATCCTAGTTTTTTGAATAAGCTGTAACTCAGTGTAACTAAATGATAGAGAAAAAGTTATTTACAGAAAAAAAAACTAATAAAAAGTGATAACATTATCATTTTGCATCCTCTCTCTGAATAAGCAAAGATTACCACTAATTGATAATACTGTTAGGTAAAGAGCTGGTGAGAAACTTTGTAATGGGATGTCTTAAAGTGACTAATTAAACACCTGAATCCTTTTTTTAAAATTTAATTCAATTCAATTTAATTTAATTTAATTTAATTTAATTTAATTTAATTTAATGTAATTGGAGACCGAATCTCACTCTGTTGCCCAGGCTGGAGTGCAGTGGCATGATCTCAACTCACTGCAACCTCCACCTCCTGGGTTCAAGCGATCTTGTGCCTCGACCTCCCGAGTAGCTGGGAGTACAGGTGCCTGCCACCACGCCCAGCTAATTTTTGTATTTTTAGTGGAGACAGGGTTTCACCATGTTGGCCAGGCTGGTCTTGAACACCTGACCTCAGGTGATCCACCCGCCTTGGCCTCCCGTAGTGCTGTGTTACAGGCATGAGCCACCGTGCCTGGCCCTGAATCCATTATTTAAAGTTAAGATATTTTTAAAAAGAGTTAACTATTGTGCCTCTTCTCGTGATTTAATGAGGTATAGACTAACCACCTATGAAATAGTCTTTCCAAAAATTTAGACAGAAATCTGATCAAGCCAGTTTATAGAACATACATTCAACTGAGAAACATGTTAAAGGACTCTTCTTGGATGCTGTCAGCAAAATTCATAATGTTAGAACTCTGCAGAAAAAAAAAATTGTTTTTCCCCCAACAAATAAATCTCATAAAAAAGAATATAGATTATAAAGAAGCCTAAGAGACATATCAACCCTTAATAAAAGGATCCTGTTTGGCTCTGAACACACTAATGAAATTGGAAGAATAATTAGATATTTGATGCTAGTAAGGGAAATTTTATTAATATTACATTAATATTAAGTAATATTACATTAATATCAAGTAATAAACATTTTAGATAACATAATAGTATTGTGGTTATTATTATTATTTTTAAAATCATCATTTTTTAAAGAGAGGGTCTCTGTTGCCCAGGCTGGGGTGCAGTGGTATGAGCATGGCTTGCTGGGTACAAGTGATCCTCTGGCCTCACTGTCCTGAGTAGCTGGGACTACAGGTACACACCACCATGCCCAGCTAATTTCATATTATTTTTTGTAGAGATGGGGGTCTTGCTATGTTGCCCAGGCTGGTCTCAAACTGCTGGCATCAGGTGATTCTCTTGCCTTAAATCCTCATCTTCAAGCCTATTTAAAACTGAAAACCCTTATCCTGAATTTCTTATCAGTAAAATAAGGAAGAGGACTAAATGTCTTTGCTGCTTTCTCTGTGCTCTGCTCTAGCTGTTATATAATAGCCACTCCCTCATGATTTCCTTCTCAGAATCTTATTATTATAATGTATAAGCAATAATGTTGCTTGTGGATAAGACTTTATTTAATGCGTCTACCTCTGGGGGCAGGAACTTCAGGGCTCACGCTGGATGACCTGATTGACCCTAGGAAGTTGCTCTGTACCCTCTTCCAGACCATTTGTCCCCTCCTGAGCAGGATCTGAACATAACAGCTCTGGGCCTTGAGTCAGGGGTCATTTAGGGTCTTGATAACCAAGAATGTATAGACTGGGATGAGTTAGACTTGGTGGAGAGCCAACCCTCTGTGTGGAAGTCCTAATTCTTCAGTAGGTGATAACTGATTAATACCCATGTGGAAACCAGAAGCAATAACCACCAGAGAGTAGTAATGATTTGGCACACCACCCCCTTTTTGCAAGTTATTATTTGTGTTTTAAAAATCATTCAGTCTGGCCAGGCACAGTGGTCATGCCTGTAATCCCAGCACTTGGGAGGCCGAGGCGGGTGGATTACTTGAGGCCAGGAGTTTGAGACCAGCCTGGCCAACATAGTGAAACCCCATCTCTACTAAAAATACAAAAATTAGCTGGGCATGGTGGCACACGCTCGTAGTCCCAGGTACTCGGGAGGCTGAGGTAGGAGGATCGCCTGAGCCCAGGAGGTGGAGATTGCAGTGAGCTGAGATTGTGCCACTGCACTTCAGCTTGGGGGACAGAGTGAGACTCAAAAAAAAAAAAAAAAATTATCCAATTTTAAGCTGGGGTCATGTTATTCCCGCCCACCCCCCAACCCCAGAGTTTCTGATTCAGTAGTTCTTTTTGTTTTTGATATATAATAATTGTACATACTTATGGAGTTACATATACATTAGATACATTTATACAATGTGTAATGATTAAATCAGGGCAGGGCAATTAGGATGTTCATCACTTAAAACATGTATCATTTCTTTATGCTGGGAACATTTCAAACCTTCTCTTGCAACTGCTTTGAGATATATAATAAGTTATTAACTATAGTCACCCTACTGTGCTATCAAACACTAGAACCTGTTCCTTCCATCTAACTGTATGTTTTGAACCATTAACCAACCTCTCTCCATACCCCGCCTCCCAGCCTCTGGTGACCATCATATGGTTCTCTACTCCGTTAGATCAACTTTTTTTTTTTAGCTACCACATTTGAGTAAAAACATGCGATATTTGCCTATCTGTAGGACCTTCTTAAGACTGTGAAACTGTACCTAGGAATCCAACTTACAAGGGATGTGAAGGACCTCTTCAAGGAGAATTAAAAACCACTGCTCAAGGAAATAAGAGAGGACACAAACAAATGGAAAAACATTCCGTGCTCATGGATAGGAAGAATCAGTATCGTGAAAATGGCCATACTGCCCAAAGTAATTTATAGATTCAATGCTGTCCCCATCAAGCTACCATCAGCTTTCTTCACAGAATTAGAAAAAACTACTTTAAATTTCATATGGAACCAGAAAAGAGCCTATATAACGAAGACAATCCTAAGCAAAAACAACAAAGCTGGAGGCATCATGCTGACTTCAAACTATACTACAAGGCTACGGTAACCAAAACAGCATGATTCTGGTACCAAAACAGATACATAGACCAATGGAACAGATCAGAGGCCTCAAAAATAACACCACACATCTCCAACCATCTTATCTTTGACAAACCTGACAAAAACAAGCAATGGGGAAAGGATTCCCTATTTAATAAATGGTTTGGGAAAACTGGCTAGCCATATGCAGAATACTGAAACTGGACCCCTTCCTTACACCTTATACAAAAATTAACTCAAGATGGATTAAAGACTTAAACATAAGACCTAAAACCATAAAAACCCTAGAAGAAAATCTAGGCAATACCATTCAGGACATAGAATTGGGCAAAGACTTCATGACTAAAACAACAAAAGCAATGGCAACAAAAGCCAAAATTGACAAATAGGATGTAATTAAACTAAAGAGCTTCTGCACAGCAAAAGAAACTACCATCAGAGTGAACAGGCAGTCTGCAGAATGGGAGAAAATTTTTGCAATCTATCCATCTGACAAAGGGCTAATATCCAGAATCTACAAATAAACAAATTTACAAGAAACAAACAACACCATCCAAAGGTGGGTGAAGGATATGAATAGAGACTTCTCAAAAGAAGACATTTATGCGGCCAACAAACATGAAAAGCAGCTCATCATCACTGGTCATTAGAGAAATGCAAATCAAAACCACAATGAGATACCATCTCACACCACTTAGAATGATGATCATTAAAAAGTCAGGAAACAACATGCTGGAGAGGATGTGGAGAAATAGGAAAGCTTTTACACTGTTGGTGGGAGTGTAAATTAGTTCAACCATTGTGGAAGACAGTGTGGTGATTCCTCAAGGATCTAGAACCAGAAATATCATTTGACCCAGCAATCCCATTACTTGGGTATATACCCAAAGGATTATAAATCATTCTGCTATAAAGACACATGTACACATATGCATACTGCAGCACTATTCACAATAGCAAAGACTTGGAACCAACCCAAAAGCCCATCAGTGATAGACGGGATAAAGAAAATACGGCACGTATATACCATGGAATACTATGCAGACATAAAAAAGGATCAGTTCATGTCCTTTGCAGGGAAATGGATGAAGCTGGAAACTATCATTCTCAGCAAACTATCACAAGGACAGAAAACCAAACACCACATGTTCTCACTCATCAGTGGGAATTGAACAGTGAGAACACATGGACACAGGGAGGGGAACATCACACACCAGGGCCTGTCAGGGAATGGGAGACTAGGGGAGGGATAGCATTAGGAGAAATACCCAATGTAGATGACAGGTCGATGGGTGCAGCAAACAACCTTAGCACATGTATACCTATGTAACCTGCACGTTCTGCCCATGTATTCCAGAACTTAAATTATAATAATAATAATAATAATAATAGACTGAAACTGGCCAGGTGGGGTGGCTTATGCTTGTAATTCCAGCATTTTGGGAGGCTGAGGCAGGAGAATTGCTTGAAGCCAGGAGTTGGAGACCAGTCTGGGAAGTATAGTGAGACCTTGTCCCTATTTAAAAAAAAAAAAAAAAAAGACTGCCTAACTTGTGGGAGACAGAGCAAGATGCCTTCAGGAGGAATCTCTGGCCGTCTTCTTTGGTAATATCCAAAGAGCTTTGGTCAGCGTTGATATCAAAGCGGTGTGAAGAAAACATAAGGCCATAAGACTAATCTCTGGAGAGCTGCACACTGAAGGGGAACCTAAGTTCTTGAGTCCCTGGAGTACCCCAAGTGTGGTTTCAGAGAGGGTGCCATTCATGAGCAACACTGCTAGCCATTAGTGGCCAGCAAGAAGGGGAGTGAAAGGAGTATCTTGTAGATGGTGACTTGGGTAATATGAAATTGCTGTCATCAAGGTTTATCAAAAAACCAAAGGTTAAATATTACATGTAGGCAATGTGAGGCTGCCCCAAATGGTGTGTTTCCCAGGAACTTGATTCAACTCTGAGAATAAATGCATGAGTACTGAGAAAACTGTTTGGGTGGAAAATATTTATTTATTATTTTATTTTGTTCCCTCAGCTGTGATCTGCTTATTTGAGCTTGTTAGAAATATGTAACCTAGGCTGAGCGCGGTGGCTCACGCCTGTAATCCCAGCACTTTCGGAGGCCGAGGTGGGTGGATCACCTGAGGTCAGGAGTTCGAGACAAGCCTGGCCAACGTAGTGAAACCTTGTCTCTACTAAAAATGTAAAAATTAGCTGGGCGTGGTGGCGGGCGCCTGTAATCCCAGCTACTCAGGAGGCTGAGGCAGGAAAATTACTTGAACCCAGGAGGTGGAGGTTGCAGTGAGTCGAGATCGTGCCATTGCACTCCAGAGCAAGACTCTGTCTCAAAACAAAAAACAAAACAAAAAAAAACCGGCGCAGTGGCTCACGCCTGTAATCCCAACACTTTGGGAGGCAGAGGCAGGCGGATCACGAGATCAGGAAATGGAGACCATCCTGGGTAACATGGTGAAACCCTGTCTCTACTAAAAATACAAAAAAATTAGCCGGGCTTGGTGGCAGGCACCTGTAGTCCCAGCTACTCGGGAGGCTGAGGCAGGAGAATGGTGTGAACCTGGGAGGCGGACCTTGCAGTGAGCAGAGATCGCCCCACTGCACTCCAGCCTGGGCGACAGAGTGAGACTCCATCTCCAAAAAAAAAAAAAAAGAAATATGCAGCCAACATATATAGCCTTCTGCAACTATATATTTGTTTACAAAAGAGAAAAATACTGTTGAAATTGTTTTGACCCAGGTTCTTTTAAAATCGCTTTATAGTCACAAAATGATTGTCCTAGAGGATACCAGCCTCCATAACTGTGGCTACTACCCTTAAGACTCAGTAACATTAACTCTCAGCTCTGAGACTTTTTACTACGTTTTTTTTTAAAGGATGTGGGTGCAGTGGACATCCCTTAACTACATCTTTAGTGTGGCTTGCTAATCACCACAGAGACTTTAGTGTTGGTACCTGAAACATCTGGAAAATAAATCAACAAATTAATCCAACAGGACTGGGTTTTCATGTTTACTTCAAATTGCTTTTTTTTTTTTTTTTTTTTACATCCTTTTCCATTATTGAAATATGGTAGATGCTTTGGTCCTATTTATTGAATTTTCTTTCAACCTTCAGACACTTCTCGAGAAAACCAAACCAACCATGATAATACATTACTATTTTGCCTTTTGCAGAAGTCGTCTAGCTGAGCTTGAAAGTAACATCAAATTTGGGAGTGCTGTGCTGAAACATATCTAGGTATCAGGAAAAGTGATTTTCCAAAGGCTTGTAAAAAGTCATAGGATTCTATGACTGCTTCCTCAAGAGTGTAACAATAGCTTATCAAGAGAGGCTGTGCAGCATAGTGGTGAAGATTATGGACTCTCGAGTGCAGGGTCATATCTCAGTCCCACCACTTACCAGTTTGCATGACTGAGAAAATTGCCCATTTTCTTGGGGCCTCATTTTTCTTATCTCTGAAGCAAGGATGGTGACATTGTACTTGGCTTAAAGGCTTGGAATTAATTTAATATGGGTGAAGCACTTAGAGCCAGGAATATTGTGCATGCTCAGTAAATTCATATTACTTACAAAATTAATTCCTAACACCTTCCTTGCCATTTTGCTGGACTGTGGTATCTAAGATTGTTACTAAGTGTCTCAACCACGTGTACTGAGGGAACATTATCATATTTGGAAGAAAGTCATCTTTATGTGAATTCCCAAGTGACAGTGTAGGGACCCATTAAGTTGTTAAGCGTTTTAAGGCATGAAGCTGGCCAGCTTTGAGGTGTCAGTGACTTGTAAGGGCACTAACAAGTCTGTCAGTTGGGAGCATAGTTCCCAGCTGCAAGTTCTCACCTTGACAAAGTTATAATTGTATTAGCAAGGGAAGACCCCTCCTTTCTGAGAACGTAGGAAATACTGTAAACCTGAAAAACTCTGTTGCTATAACTTCTGTAATTTTCTTAAATGAATTCTTAAACATGATGTATAAAATGACAAGATTTAATCAGCTCAATAACATATAAATCCTTGATCGTGAAAATATGTATAATTGGTTATTAATCAGCTTTTTGTTCTCTAGATTAATTGTAATTTCAAGACATGTAGGATTTAGAAAATGGAGTAGCCCTTTCTTTGAGTGAGTAAGTTCTTAGAAGACAAAGATTTTTTAAAAAACATGCTTTCCTATAGGGTTGCATGAGCTTTAGACGTAATAAATGCTCAATAAATGTTGATTTGATTTAGTTTTAATCTTCCTGTTTTACATGTGACCTAGGTAGGAAACAGAGTCCACAGCCAAGAAGCCTCAAATAAAACTCCCCTAACTTTTTGGAAGGCAGCCTCAGTCCTCAGATGGAAGGTAAAATCCATACCTCCAATTAGGTTTTGCTTGGATTCAAACATTTGCTAGGAATAAAAACAGCACATTTACGACAGGCTAGGTATCACAGAAAGTGCCAGTAGTTGATGTAACCTCTTTTATGTGTGAGGAGACCAGATCTTAGTATAACTAATAAGCTGCAATTTACTGATCATTGTGGCTTGCCTATATATGTAGTTTTTTTCTCCCACAAATGAGGAAAACATCCCTGCAGAGATTGAGGAATATCTCCTATCTTCCAGTTCTTAAATCCTTCCCCTTTCCTGATATGTGTTCAGGAAAATTTAGGGATAGTTTCAAGGGCAGGAAAAGCCCATAACTCATAGATGACTATGCCACAATACTGTTCAGAGACTGTTTCAAACTGAATAATGGTAGTAATTGTGGACACTTGTCTTTGAGAGTTTATGGAACTCCTAAATGTCATAGATTTTATAGTACTGTGCTTCTCAGAGTTCAATGAGTATATGAATCACCTTTGAATTTTGTTAAAATGCAGATTCTGGGCTGGGCATGGTGGCTCATGCCTGTAATCCCAGCATTTTGGGAGGCTGAGGTGGGTGGATTATGAGGTCAGGAGTTCGAGACCAGCCTGGCCAACATAGTGAAACCCCATCTCTACTAAAAATACAAAAAATTAGCTGGGCATGGTAATGTGTGCCTGTAATTCCAGCTACTCGGGAGGCTAAGGCAGGAGAATCATGTGAACCCAGGAGGTGGAGGTTTGCAGTGAGCTGAGATCGTGCCATTTCACTCCAGCCTGGGAGACAGAGCGAGACTCCGTCTTAAAAAATAATAATACATTAAAAATATAAAAATGCAGATTCTGATTCAGGAAATCTGGGATGGGACCTAAAACTGCATTTCTTATAGGCCTCTCATGTTAGAGCTGCTGCTCTGCAGCCTTACTTTAAGTAACAAGGCACTAAAACACAGGTTCTAACTCAACTGCACACTAAATTGCCAGAAGGCACTAAAAAAGAGTCCCCCTACTAAATAAACTATATTTAAACAAACATTTGTTTTCTTACTTGAATTAATCAAAACACACGAAGTTGCTAATTCGACTTCCTGATCACTGTGGGCTCACTGGTGCTGGCACACTGAGTTGGCATAAGCTCCAGGAAGGCCCAGAGCGGAGTCCTTCACACACTTCTCATGGTCAAATATGTGGTTTCCTTTGGATTTTTTGAAATGTTGGAAATTGTTCATTGATCCTCACTTGCTCCATTTGTGGATCTGGATCAGAGTCCACTGATTGTGTAATGAGAGAACCCCAGATTATGCAATCTGGGGGCAGATCTCACCTGCAAACACATGTGTAAAAGGAAATCTTAGCAGCTGCAACTGTAGCAGAGTTCTTCACAGTTCTCTGCTTCAGAAATTATCTTTTGGCTGCATTGGTTTTGGCTGCCTTTCTGCTCAAACAAGCAAACACTCCCCTTGATCCATCCAGCATCATGACTTGATATGCATGAGAACTAGGAGCTTGTGTTAGGTAGAGTGAAGGATAAGCTATCAGAGAAGGCTTCTGAGAAGAGCTGCATTTGTTAGAGTTTAGATAATGGTAAGGGGTCTTCAGCTGGAGCAGAGGGAAAGGGGCATTCTAATGAAGAGAAAATACTGTCTGCAAAGGTTGGTGGCATTAGAGAACTGTGGGGCTGGAGGGTGTTCATGGGAAAGCGGGGAGGGGACAGAGAGAGGTTTGGTGGATGATAAGGCTACTGAAGTTGGTCCAAATTGGGAAGGGTGTTAGATATCCTGTAAGAAACTGTCTCCAGGCCAGGCATGGTGGCTCACACTTTGTAATCTCAGCACTTCGGGAGGCCAAGGCAGGTGGATCACCTGAGTCCAGGAGTTTGAGATCAGCCTAGGCAACATGGTAAAACCTAGTCTTTACAAAAAATTAGCCAGGTGTGGTGTTGTGTGCCTGTAGCCCCAGCTACTCAGGAGGCTGAGGTAGGAGGATTGCTTGAGCCCTGGAGACCGAGGCTGCAGTCAACTGAAATTGCAGCACTGCACTTCAGCCTGGGCAACAGAATGAGACCTTTTCTCAAAAAACAAACAGGCAGTTAGAAAAATCTACCCCCTTCCCCCTCCCCCTCTCCCTCCCCCTCTCCCTCCCTCCCCCTCTCCCCACGGTCTCCCTCTCCCTCTCTTTCCACGGTCTCCCTCTGATGCCGAGCCGAAGCTGGACGGTACTGCTGCCATCTCGGCTCACTGCAACCTCCCTGCCTGATTCTCCTGCCTCAGCCTGCCGAGTGCCTGCGATTGCAGGCGCGCGCCGCCACGCCTGACTGGTTTTCGTATTTTTTTGGTGGAGACGGGGTTTCGCTGTGTTGGCCGGGCTGGTCTCCAGCTCCTAACCTCGAGTGATCCGCCAGCCTCGGCCTCCCGAGGTGCCGGGATTGCAGACGGAGTCTCCTTCACTCAGTGCTCAATGGTGCCCAGGCTGGAGTGCAGTGGTGTGATCTCGGCTCGCTACAACCTCCACCTCCCAGCAGCCTGCCTTGGCCTCCCAAAGTGCCGAGATTGCAGCCTCTGCCCGGCCGCCACCCCGTCTGGGAAGTGAGGAGCGTCTCTGCCAGGCCGCCCATCGTCTGGGATGTGAGGAGCCCTTCTGCCTGGCTGCCCAGTCTGGAAAGTGAGGAGCGTCTCTGCCTGGCCGCCATCCCATCTGGGAAGTGAGGAGCGTCTCTGCCCGGCCGCCCATCGTCTGAGATGTGGGGAGCACCTCTGCCCTGCCGCCCCGTCCGGGATGTGAGGAGCGTCTCTGCCCGGCCGCCCCGTCTGAGAAGTGAGGAGCCCCTCCGCCCGGCAGCCGCCCCGTCTGAGAAGTGAGGAGCCCCTCCGCCCAGCAGCCACCCCGTCTGGGAAGTGAGGAGCGTCTCTGCCCGGCAGCCACCTCGTCTGGGAGGGAGGTGGGGGGGTCAGGCCCCCGCCCGGCCAGCCGCCCTGTCCGGGAGGTGAGGGGCACCTCTGCCCGGCCGCCCCTACTGGGAAGTGAGGAGCCCCTCTGCCTGGCCACCACCCCGTCTGGGAGGTGTACCCAACAGCTCATTGAGAACGGGCCATGATGACAATGGCGGTTTTGTGGAATAGAAAGGGGGGAAAGGTGGGGAAAAGATTGAGAAATCGGATGGTTGCTGTGTCTGTGTAGAAAGAGGTAGACATGGGAGACTTTTCATTTTGTTCTGTACTAAGAAAAATTCTTCTGCCTTGGGATCCTGTTGATCTGTGACCTTACCCCCAACCCTGTGCTCTCTGAAACATGTGCTGTATCCACTCAGGGTTGAATGGATTAAGGGCGGTGCAAGATGTGCTTTGTTAAACAGATGCTTGAAGGCAGCATGCTCGTTAAGAGTCATCACCACTCCCTAATCTCAAGTACCCAGGGACACAAACACTGCGGAAGGCCGCAGGGTCCTCTGCCTAGGAAAACCAGAGACCTTTGTTCACTTGTTTATCTGCTGACCTTCCCTCCACTATTGTCCTGTGACCCTGCCAAATCCCCCTCTGTGAGAAACACCCAAGAATGATCAATTAAAACAAACAAACAAACAAAAAAACCCACAAATATTTATGTTGAAACTTAAACCCGATGTGGCAGTATTAAAAGGTGGAGCCTTTAAGAGGTGATTGGATCGTGAAGGATCTGCCCTCATGAATGAATGCATTCAAGATTAACGAGTTTATGGGTTACCATGGGAGGAGAACTGGTGGCTTTTAATTTAATTTAATTTTATTTTTTTGAGAGGGAGTCTTGCTCTGTTGCCCAGGCTGGAGTGCAGTGGCACGATCTCAGCTCACTGCAACCTCTGCCTCCCGGGTTCAAGTGATTCTCCTGCCTCAGCCTCTCAAGTAGCTGGGATTACAGGTGCCCACCACCATGTCTGGCTAATTTTTGTATTTTTGGTAGAGACGGGGTTTCACCATGTTGGCCAGGCTTGTCTCGAACTCCTGAGGTCAGGTGATCCGCCCGCCTTGGCCCCCCAAAGTGCTGGGATTACAGGCATGAGCCACCACGCTTGGCCTGAACTGGTGGCTTTATAAGAGGAAGAGACCTGCAGTAGCATGTTTGCATGCTCAGCTCCCTCACCATGTCACTTTGGGACTCTAGAGTCCCCACCAGCAAGAAGGCTTTCACCAGGTGTGGCCCCTTAACTGTGGACTTCCCAGCCTCCATAACTGTAAGGAATAAATTCCTTTTTAAAATAAATTACCCAGTTTCAGGTATTCTGCTATAGGCAGCAGGAAATGGATTAAGGCACATGCATTCTAAATATTTAAAAATGCATACTTGGGCTGGGCGCAGTGGCTCATGCCTGTAATCCCAGCACTTTGGGAGGCCGAGGCAGGTGGATCACAAGGTCAGGAGATCGAGACCATCCTGGCCAACACGGTGAAACCCCATCTCTACTAAAAATACAAAAAATTAGCCGAGTGTGGTGACGGGCGCCTGTAGTCCCAGCTACTTGGGAGGCTGAGGCAGGAAAATGGTGTGAACCTTGGGGGCAGAGCTTGCAGTGAGCCAAGATTGTGCCACTGCGCTTCAGCCTGGGCAACAGATCGAGACTCCATCTCAAAAAAAAAAAAATGCATACTTAAGAGAAAAGGATAGAAAAAAACAGGCCTAAGAAGCTGAGTGAGGCTGGGCATGGTGGCTCACGCCTGTAATCCCAGCACTTTGGGAGGCCGAGGCTGAGGTCAAGGACTCCAGACCAGCCTGGCCAACATGGAGAAACCTCGTCTCTACTAAAAATACAAAAAATTTGCCAGGTGTGGTGGCACATGCCTGTAATCACAGCTACTTGGGAGGCTAAGGCAGGAGAATCGCTTGAACCCAGCAGGCGGAGGTTGCAGTCAGCTGAGATTGTGCCATTGCACTCTGGCCTAGGCAATAAGAGCGAAACTCCGTCTCAAAAAAAAAAAAAAAAAAAAAAAAAAAAACAAGAAAACTGCGTGGACAGCTTTAGTATCAAGAGGGCAGAAGTAGAACCAATGGAACAGGGCTCTATTTTAGCTTCATGAGAGATAGAAGTTTCTAATCCTCATCATTGGCCTGCTGTGGAAGGGGCTGCCTTGTAATGACAACAGATGTCCCTGGAGACATGCAAACAAGCTAGTCTCGCTAGAAGAAAGAGCATTCTTGCATGGAGAAGTGGATTAGATGACCCTTACCTCCTTCCTGGAACTAAGACTTGATTATAGTTGTTTTGTTTTTAGAATAATTGTGATTCAGTTTTGTGACTACAAAAACAGGTGTGTGTTCATTTTATAACGTTTAGACAATTTTTAAATACCCAGAAGAAAATAACGTCATCTGACTGTTCCATTCAGAGATACCTACTGCTAGCATTTTGCTACAGAGGCCCCATCAATCTTTTGAATACACATTTCATTCAATTTTGATGAAGTGGGATACTAACAAACATACTGTATTGTACCTGTTTTTTTTTCCTTTTAAAAATTATTGTATTTTGTACCTGCTTTTTTATTAATCAAAAAACTCTGATACTATGAATGTCTTCCTTGTCATTAAGTATTTTTTGTAAAACAAGAGGGTGAAAGCTTATTCAGTGGAGGGGGTGGTAGTGGTGATGGGAGGAATTAGAGATCAGTGTTATAAATTCAGAAATAAAGAGAAGTATCTAAAGTGAGCTCTTCCCACTCCCATCCCTCTACTTTCAGTATCTCAAGAAATCTCTGGGATTTTGGTAGCAATATGTGTGGAGAACAAGCCAGGAAAAGGATCTCTAGTTTGGATGATTGGTGATTGGCTCATAAATTAGGGGCCAGGAGGAATGGAGTGGGTTGGAATTGGGGCCATTCAGATGAATTCTGGCCTGGTCTGGCCTTGGGACCATTTCTCAGGCTGTCTCTTTCTCTTCCCTGTTTCCCTTTCCTTTTGAAAGGCATCACTACTCCTTCGCACTCACTGGTGTTTGCTATTCAACAAATTATTAATGTGGCTGATCTTATTTTAAGGGGTTTATTGCTGATCTTCACAGTTAAAAAACACACGGTAAAATATGGAATGTTTTAGTTTTGTGTTAGCCAAGTCCCTCCTGATCTGCTTATAGGAAGCTCTCTTTGAATTCTGCCTTCTGCTTTTATTCCCAAGGAAGGAACTAACTAAACACACTTTTCCCCTAGTCTTTTTTAATTCCTTTTTTTGTGAAGGAGATACTATCTTCTTCCTGTATGGAGAAACCACCCCTTACAGACCCTAGAGGCAGCTAAGTCTCATTGATAGATATCTCTCAGCATCTGTTGTAACTGCATCCAGATGGGGAGGATCTTATTGTGTAGACACAATGAGAAAATGTTCTATTTTGGACAACCTCCCAAGTGCCTTTTCATGCCCAGGAAAGTGTTTTGGGGCATCTAGAACAAATAGTCTTGGAGTTACAGAGAGAAGTTTAGGTTGGAGTTACACATTTAGAGAGTTACTGATGATATTGTACAAGACAGCATTTAGATTGAGAAGAGACAAGTAAGGTTTGTTAGAACTCTATCCTGGATCCTGGATGTGTGAGCAGAAAGAATTGTAAAATAAGATTGAGTTGCTTGAAGTCTGCAGAGAGCCTTTCATGGGAGGTGGTCACTGGCATCATAAAGGAAGCCGACTTCTCTTGGTGTAAGAAGCTTGGCAGTGATGGCAGAAGGAGACTGGGTGGTAGCGTTTACAGAGAAGAAACCAATGTATTGGGAGAAATGCCTTGTGCTGGGACTAGGGTAGAGAAAATAGATGATGAGCCTGGAGCATCCTGTAGTAACAGAAAGGAAAGGGTGCTCGAAACACAAAAGGATGGGGCATGTCAAAGGGGCAAGGAGCCAACCTGAAGGGGCTCCCAGTGGCCAAGGCTGGAACAATTTGATAACAAAATCAATCATGTAGTGGCTTATGATACAAAGTTCAAAGGAAATACCTGTGAGAGCATGCTCATATAAATAAATAATTGAATGAGTAAATAAATGGAGAAGAGGCAAATCTTTCTTAGAGAAGAATTTCAAATATGTATAGCTATTACCACCCCTTTTCCTGTGTCTGCTTCATTCTCTCCCTCCTTTGAAGGGAAAACAGCCAAAACCAGATAGAGGAACATTCTACGGGATAGCCAGCCTAAACTTCTCAAAACTGTCACGAAAAACAAGGAAAAACTGAGAAATAATGCAGTTTTAGGATACCTCGGGTTGCATCTTGGACCAGAAAGATGTCATTGATGGAAAAAGTGGTAAAATCAAAACAAAGTCTAAAGTTTATTTCATAGTAATAGACCAATGTTGATTTCTCAGTTTTGGCAAGTGGTCAATGGTAGTGTAAGATATAAACAGGAAACTGGCTGGGTGGGGGTATAATCCTTTGCAACTTTTTTGTAAATCTAAAGTTATTCTAAAATAAAACATTTATTAAAAAATAAACTCTGTGTGTGTGTGTGTGTGTGTGTGTGTGTGTGTGTGGCAGAGGAAGTGGGGGAACTTGAGCTTGTTTGTAGACTGATAATAAGTAATTGGTATAATTGTAGGCTAATATCCCTGATTGATCAGGGTATTAGGGTAAGGAAGGGCATGTTTTATTAATGCACAAATAGGAGGAGATATGGAAAACTGTAGACCAGATCAGGTAAAGAAAAAAACATTGAGTGAAGAGGTAAAGTTGAGCAGTAATTTGTATACATTTTTGCTTGTATACCTCCTACAAGAATGTTGAAAAACTGTAAATCTTTATTCTTGAACCAAACAGTTGAATCAGATTTATTTTATTAGAGAAAGTCTAACTTCTGATGGCCCTATACATCTCATTTCATAATTCTAATTTGTATATAGTCAGGCATAGGCACCTTGCCGCAGGCTTGTTACCTGGATGTGTTTAATGAGGATCTATCTATTAATATTGATTTAACCCCGGGGACTCTCCTCCTACAGAGAACTGTTCCTTTGGGGGCCTCAGAGGTATTACACCTGGAGTAATGCACCATTTTAATATTGATTTGGGGTGGATGAGAGGACTGCTTTCCTTTTTCTACTTTTTTTTTTTTTTTTTTTTTTTTTTTGGTGACGGCGTCTCGCTCTGTCACCAGGCTGGAGTGCAGTGGTGCAATCTCGGCTCACTGCAACCTCCCCCTCCCAGGTTCAAGCGATTCTCCTACCTCAGCCTCCCGAGTAGCTGGGACTACAGGCGCTTGCCTCCACGCCTGGCTAATTTTTTGTATTTTTAGTAGAGACTGGGTTTCACCGTGTTAGCCAGGATGGTCTGGATCTCCTGACCTCGTGATCCACCCGCCTCGGCCTCCCAAGGTGTCGGGATTACAGGCGTGAGCCACCGCGCCCGGCTCGTGCTTTTCTTTTTCAAGTGGAGAAAACCAAGTGGGAAGTGAGAGCCTGAATCCTGGTTGTAAGAAAGAGGACATTTGTATATTAAGGATCTAGAAATAGATTTGCCCTTAGGTCGTGAGAATCTCCAGGTAACCCCAGTTTAAAGATAAAGGCAGAGAACCTGGAAAGTGTGAAATAAGGATAGGAGGGCTGCTTTGTGTTGAAGTCACAGCTGAAGGGAGAGCCGGTTAATTTCCAGTGGTGCTCATTAGCAGTCCTCCTTGCTGTCTGCCTTCTGGGTAATGCCTGTTTTTATTCTCCTCCATTATCTCCTCCCTCTTCCTGTGTCTGCTTCACTTGAGATTTTCAATGGCAACCTTGAGCACCCTTCTCTTGGCAAAGTGATTTTAGCAGTGTCCTGGTTAAACATCATTCCATTGAAATGAAGTAGCAGTTCTTAGGGGATTTGACCTATGTGACGTTTAGACCAAAAATGCTACAAAGGGTAGAATTGTTGAATGACCATTGTGGTACAAATGCATACATTGAATGAGGTATGTTAGAATTCGGAATAAGGCAACCTGTTTAAATTTTTTCTTTTCTTTTCCTTTTTTTTTTTTTTTCCCAGAGACGGTCTTGCTCTGTTGCCCAAGCTGGAGTGAAGTGGCTCACTGTAATCTCAAATTCCTGGGCCCAGGTGATCCCCCTGCCTTAGCCTCCTGAGTAGCTGGGACTACAAGTGTGAGCCACCATGCCCAGCTAATTACAAAAATTTTTTTAGTGGAGGTGAGATCTTCCTATGTTGCCCAGGTTGGTCTTCAACTCCTGGCCTCAAGTGATCCTCCCACCTCAGTCTCTCAAAGTGCTGGGATTACAGGTGTGAGCCACCAGGCCTGGTCAACTCTTAAGTTGTTAAAAGGGCAATGAAGTTTTTTTTTTTTTTTTTTTTTTTTGAGATGGTGTCTCACTGTGTTGCCCAGGCTGGAGTGCAGTGGTGCGATCTCGGCTCACTGCAGTCTCTGCCTCCCAGGTTCAAGTAATTCTTCTGCTTCTGCCTCCTGAATAGCTGGGACTACAGGCACATGCCAGCATGCCTGAGACAGGGTTTCACCATGTTGGCCAGGCTGGTCTCAAACTCCTGACCTCAAGTGATCCACTTACTTCAGCCTCCCAAAGTGCTGGGATTACAGGCATGAGCCACCGTGCCCAGCTGGGCAATAAAGATTAACGGGCGATTTTACTCCTTATTTGTAGGGTAAATTGGGTCTGTTAGCAGGAGCCGGGTCCAGGGATTCTTAACCTGAAATCTGCGGAGCCTCACGTGCTTCCTAAGTGGGTTTCAGGGGAATCAAATTGCATGGAAGTTTAACAAAGGTTGTACTTCAGTGTCCTCAAATTTCATCAGAAAGCCAAAGAATTCTTTGCCCCTCAAAGGTTAAGAATGCCTTTTTGTTCAGTTTCACTGCTGATGAAGATGGTGGGTTGGATACAATGGTGTTTTCAAAACACTTGGAAATAATAATGCCCATGTTGGTATTGCAGTACTTTTTTAGCCACATACAGTATCCAAGTCACAAATCATTTCTCCTGTACTTAGTAATTTTAGATGTATTATAATCTAGTATCATCCCACTTGTTTCAAATTACTCCCATGAATTTACATTACAAACCATTTTGAGAGCCCAGGGAATCTCAGGTGTAATTCTAATCTGGTATTGATTCCATATATCTTTGGGGGTAAATATTTGCTGTATTAAAATTTTTTTTCCATTTATTCATTTATTTGAGACTAGGCCTTGCCCTGTCACCTAGGCTGGAGTTCAGTGGTGTTCTCATAGCTCACTGCAGCCATGAAGTCCTGGGCTCACGCAATCCTCTTGCCTCAGCCTCCCAAGTAGCTAGAACTATATATCCAGCTAATTTTTAAATTGTTTTTTAATAGAGACAAGGACTTGCTATGTTGCCCAGGCTGGTGTCAAATTCCTGCCCTCAAGCGATCTTTTTACCTTGGCCTCCCAAAGCACTGGGATTACAGGCATGAGCCACTATGCCTGGTCTGTTTCCTCATATTTAAGTGGTGTCAGATCAATTAACATAGTTCAAAAAGTATAATTTTAATATTATCAATGTTACATTTCTAGCCTGTGCTAAATGGACATATTATGAGTAAGTGCTATTATGAAGTATTTTTTCAGCAATTATGTCTGATACTAATTTGTTTATAGCATAAATGATCACAGTCAATATAGATAAAACAGCAAGAGAAAAATGGGGAAAAACAGCCACCAAAAAATTATTGAGAGTAGACTTTTGCCTGGTTTCCTTGAATATTTACTATTGCAAAAGAAAATATGCGTACAAAGGTATTTTGTTGTCCGATATAGATTTCTTACAAATGAAAATAAATGTTGGCCAATTATGGTCCTTAGAATGATTCAAGGATTATAAATCAAGACTGAACCAAAAACTTCTTAAAATTATTTTCTAAATAAGCATGATCTAGGTAAATGGCTTTCAAATGAAAGCAGACCACAAGCATCACCTGGAGAATTTATTGAAATGCGTATTCCTGGGACCTCACCCCACAAGGATTCTATTTCAGTAGTTCTGCAACTAGGATCTGGAGTCTGTTTTTAACATATGCCCCAGGTGGTTTGACCACATTTTGCTAAAACTGAATCTAGGTGCTAAGAGGTTACATGGAATAGCTGTAATATATAACACCTTTAATTAAAAGAAGGCTCGATGAGTGTGGAGAGGTGAGGGAGACATGGAAGTATTTAGCAAATGATATAGAATAAGTTTGCACCTCAATTACTGTGAAACCCAAAGAGCTTTTGTATATGTACATTTTAGATATTATTTACTACATTAAAAATTAAAATTGAGGTATTTAAAATATTTATTTTTAAAACCCATTACATATTGACCTAAATAAAACTTTTATAAAACCAATTTTCCAAAATTAAAAAAATTATTGAGAAAGAATGGCATTATTTTACATTCATGCAAATCTCTTTACTGTCTGGCTTAATAGAAGACAGCTAGATTCTCATACAGGTTATCCAAAATGCTTGGGACCAGAATTGTTTTGGATTTCAGATTTTTTCTGATTTTGGAATATTTGCATTATATATTCTTGTTCCAGTGAGCATTTCCTTTGAGCGTCATGTCAGTACTCAAAAAGTTTTGGATTTTGGAGCATTTTGGATTTCAGATTTTCAGATTTGGGATGCCCAACCCAAACAGATTGAATCTGATTCTCTATTCAATTTGTTGCAATGTTGTTTTGGTTGAAGTCTATAAAGAAAATCCAACTTCACACAGAAAGAGGATGAGTATTTTTAATACCTTCTTTGATATTATACCAAAACTCTGTAAGTGTTAGTTTCTTAAAGGTTAATTGCATTGTGGAATCTGAAATGAGCTTTTTAAAAAAACTAAACCTTTGATACATTAAAATCAGTTGGTCTGTTTTGCACTTTTTTTCAGTGGATCTTTCATCCATGCATGATTTTGGTTTTTGTTTGAGAGAGAGTCTTACTCTGTCACCCAGGCTGGGGTGCAGTGGCACAATCTCAGCTCACTGCAACTTCCACCTCCCAAGTATCTGGGATCAGAGATGCGTGCCACTATGCTCAGCTAATTTTTTGTGTTTTTGGTAGAAATGGGGTCTCACCATGTTGTCCAGGCTCTGGTATCAAACTCCTGAGCTTAAGCGATCTGCCTGCCTTAGCCTCCCAAAGTGCTGGGATTACAGGCGTGAGCCACTGCACCTGGCCTACCCATGTATGATTCTGTTATACCATTGGTCATTTCAAAACTAAGGCAGATCTTCTCATATAACTTTCATCACTGTCACTCTGATCTCATCAGGAAAGTCTTTAAGTATTGGCGAAGCTGGCAAGATTATGTGGCAGATGCAAAAAGTCTTCCAAAATGCTTGAAAGCTCAAATTTCATCATTGGCAATAAGTACTGTCAATTGTTTTCCTCAAAGAAACAGGCTCAACTTTGTTCATTTTTAATGTCTGCCAGATACCCAAGTCAGAATAACTACAGTTTGTGAATTGTTCTTTCAAGTAAAAATGGTAGTCCATGAAAAAAAAGCTAGCTCAGCTTGCAACTCAATTACACAAGTGCTTTTCTTCTAGACAGCCATTGTACTTAAGTGTGCAGTGGACTGCTTCCTGGGTACTTCCCATTTTATCACAAAGAACATCAAAAAGACCCATGCTCAAGGGTCAAGATTTAATGAACGTAATAATTCTGACTGCTTGCTTCATTAACGACAATCATAAAGGAAACGCTTAAAAAAAAATAACGTGTGGTAGTGAAGAATGCAGTGACTACTAGTTTCATTTGCTGTCACTGCTTTGGTTAGTGCGAAGGCGCCAGCAGTTTCCCCATAATTGCTTTTGCACCATCAGTGCAAATGTCAGCACAGTGAAAAGACAATGTCTTTGTGTTATTCTAAAAATAGTTCTGACCTCTGAGAGGGTCTTGGGGACTCCCAGGAATCTAGTAAACACACTTTGAGAACCCTTGATAGAGGTGCCTTGGGCCTCCCTCCCAGCATTGTCGTTTTAGTGCCAGGCATTAACATGTTTGTATTTCACGACGATTTAGTAATACAATCTGGACTATCTCTTTATGAGACGGGCAATGTTGTCATGATTCTAGGTAGAAGAACGGAGAGTCCACAGTGCAGGCAGTTATTCAGTATTCATCTAAGAGTCTTCAGCTCCTCCGGTGTGCTGGTCCCTATGAGATGCTGAAGCACAACCTCCCTCCATCCTTGCTCATCCAAGTATTTTCCTGCTTTTGAGGCACGGCTTAAACGCTTTCCATGGTCCTCTGAGTAGGAAGTGATTTCGTTTGTGCTTCGTATAGGACTTACTATATTGCATGCTCAAGTTTTTTGTTTGCTTCTTGTCAATCCCTTCATTGCTTAAGACCAAAATGAGGTACTATTTTTCCTGTAATCTACGTGTAGTCCAAAAAAGGCGGGCTGTTTTGTAAATATTTGTCTCTATGTAAGGAAATCAAAACTGAAAGCGGAGTAACACCAAGTATGCCCGTTTCTTGAGCTCAAGCACTGGAAGGATCAAAAGTAGCGAACGTGGTTTACTGCCGCGGTCTTGTTCCTGCTCACTGCCGCCTCTGGGGGCCCCATATTCAACAAATATTCAAATTGGAGCTGGAGTTCTGAGCGGCTGGGTACTGTGTATTCCAGCGGTGGGTGTCTGTACGTAGTTAGAACCTGGCAAGAGAGCACTCTCGAGGAGCCCGCAGGCGGGGCTCGGCCGGGGACCAGCAGGGCTTGTCGGCGCCCAGGCTCTGCCCCCTACCCGACCCTGCCTGCCGCTTGCCGCCTGCCTTTGGCTAGGGCCGCCGAGCGCCCTGCCCATTTAAGTAGGCGGGCCGTACCACCGCAACTTTCTTGACAGGGGGTATCCCGGCGGACTCGGACAACTTCAAGTGAGCCCAGAGGCAATTTCTTTTCCTTTCTAACTGTGGCCCGCGTTGTGCTGTTGCTGGGCAGGCGTTGGGCGCCGGCGGTCTTCGAGCGTGGGGGCCCGCTGGCTTTCCCTTCTCAGAAACTGCGCCGGGGGCGCTCGCTTGCCCCGGATTCGGACGCGGCGCTCCCCGGGCTCGTCTGAAGTGCAGATCGCCGCAGAGGCCCCAGTGCCCGGATGTCCATCAGGATTAGCGCGAGCCAATACGGGCCGAGCCCGGGGCTGCGCCGAGGACGCCCGGGGCTCGAGAGCAGGTAGTCCCGTAACATCGGGGCGCCGCGCCGGGACGCGTCCCCGCCCGGCTCCGCCAAATGGTGAGCGCGGCGCTGGCAGCAGGGCCCGCGGGGTGAAGGCGCTCATGGACGGAAGACCCCTGGCTCTATAAGCTGAATTATGGCAGCCCAGTCAAGGTAAGCCGTGCACCGGAGAAACTTTTCAAACGCGTTCGTGGCGAGGGGAGCTGAAGGTTGCGGGGGAGGGCAGGGTGCGGGGAAGGAGACGGACAGGAAGCAGCTTTGTCATTGCCTTCTCATCATTCCCGAGGCTGTGGCTTGACTAAATGTCAGATAAAAAGCAGTTTGGAGAACATGCTGGACAATTTCTGCACAGCGGAGAGAGGGATGGAGTTAAAGTGAAGATTAAAGTTAGATAGCCCCCTTCTTCCCCCAGAACTGTTATTTTCCGGGACATTAAGTTGATTTCACTTGTCCGCCCTTGCCCAAATTTCCATTTAGATTCTTTGTGCGCCTACCCCTCGGTTTTCTGGATTTCTTGCTGTTGTCTCGAGGGGAAGTTTAGAAATACGATTAATGTAAAACATAGTTCACCTTGGAGAGGGTGGGTGAGAATTTGCCTGGTGAGTGAAAATTTTACTGCTAGAATGTACGATTCCACATAAAACGGCCCCGCTTACGTGAATCTGCTGAGTAGGCAAAGACCGGGAACGCGCCGGGGTGGTGAAGGGGAGAGAGGATAATGAACTGCAGTTGCTGTCAGAGGAGCGCTATTGTAAGAACCTGAAGCCCCGTCTTTCCATGGTTTGTTACTGTTTTTGTAATGAGCGTTGAAGAAGAGTGATGACAAGGCATTAGTGATTATTATGAGATCCAAACTGTTCTGTGCGATTTTATTTTAGTTTTGACAGCAGTTGGTGCTAAGGGAGACTTAGGAGTTATATATACATTCTCTTTCAACTGTGTTTTGCTAGAAAGCAGTTTGGTCTCACATATTTAAAGTAGTAGGGTTCTTCAAGCTGATATTTGATGTAGAACAGTGATTTTGGGAGGTCTCAGAAGACTTAACACGTCTGAAGACTCAGATCATGGAGAGAAATGGATGTTAAATGTTCATGTTTGGGCTGGATGAGACAATGTTTTTTTCCTACGAAATAGAACTTTCTAGGAAGGAAAGAGCTTCTCTGTATAAAGTACCTCCTATGTGCTACCTGCTTTTTATATTTCTTCTTCTCAACACAGTGGTTTATCCTCTGCTTCCATTTTATTGAGTTTTAAGAAAGTGGTTCTTAATCTGGGGCCAAGTAGTAGAACTTGGATGAGAAACACAAGTTGTGTCTCTATTTTTGTTAACCTCTAGCTGAAATTTAGTGTTTTTTTTTTTTTTAAGTAGGACTAGAGATAAAACTATAGTACCAGTCCTTGTGATGTTATCACAATAGAAACTATATGTCTTTTCATAATCTTAATACAATTGTTGCAGATGTCTTCAAACACCTTTTGTGCTCTCCACTCAGGAAATTAAGGAACTGCTTTATCTTGCTTAATTCAGTAGTAAAGAAAAACACTACTGTACCATTGATTTCTTTTAAATATTTTAATAGGTGCTTGTCTATATAATCTGGTACCTTTGTATTCTTATGTATTTTATTTAATGTATTTAAAAACATTTTTCTGATAGTGCTGTTATTGTCAGACTGCTACAGAGGTCCATGGCAGAAAATTAAGATTAAGATACCTTGATCTAAGAAGTTAGTAAATGCTGTGTGACAGATCTCAGTAATATAGCGCAGGGATTTGTACCCAGGTGTGAGAGATTCAATGCCAGCGCTCTTAAACTAATGATAAAAATAAAATGAGACACAAGCTAAATTGGACACTGCTGTGTGCCAGGCACAGCATTAAGCAGCTTTAATTGGATTAGCTCTGACTCTTCTCAGGCACCTAAATGGGTAAGTACTTTTATTATCCACATTTGTTAGTTGAGGAAACTGAGGTCCAGCCTGGCTGTTTCTTGCCTGAGGTCACAAAGGTGGAGCAACGCCTGACTCCAGATCTGCTTTGCACACTTCCTCCCTTATGCTTCCTCTTTAATGCTGAGGTGAGATGTTAAAGGGAGCTGCCAAGCCTCAGTATAACAGTACAAAGAATGATTCCTGCTAAAATTGGTTGTTTGTAATATGTAATAATCCTGAGTTATCAGTGTGGTGGTTCAACTTGCCAGCAATTAAAATAGGAGAATTGTGCTTATTTCTGATCCTCTACCCCACCTTCCGACATGCCCTGGAACTAGGAACAAAGCCACAAGACTGTTATGTCTGTTGTTTTCTTAGTCTGTGTGTTGGGAGTATATCTCACATTTTGTAAATGTGCATTTTCTTTGGTTACACCTGGAATGTGGTCCAAGCTCATTCAGATAATTGTGCTCTGTGGGAGAGAAGGTAATCTTTGAGATCCAAAGAGAATATATGGAGAAGATTCAAGATATTTTGGGATTTCAGGGAAACTCTAAAGCTGGGCCACGTTGCCCTGAGTAATGCTAAGAGAAACCAAAACATCACCTGTGATGTAAAATCTCAGGTAGTGAAATCTTGACCATGTACTACTACACATTAGTGTTTGTTTGCTCTTGAGACAATTAATTTAGACCGACAGACTCATTGTACTTACAGATTTGTAGCTCAGTGTTTAAGCACACCAGTTTCTTTGTTCATTGTTTAGTTTGATTCCTGATTTGTTATTGATGGGTGATATATGACTAATTTTTTATGCAAATGGATTAGGCGGTGTATTCCCATCCCTGTAGTTCACTCCTTAAGACAAGATACTGTCTCCCACATTTTAGTCTCCCCTACATAAGCTAGAAGTACTTTGAATTGAGAGATTACCTAAGTATTTCTTGGCTTGTGGACTTTTATAAATTAAGGCTGTGTTAAAACCTAAGAGTAGGAAATTTGTTTTGTGGCTGATTTCTTCTCTTAAAGCTGGAAGACATTTCTTGACTAAAATGCAATTAAATGCTTTTAAAATTTAGATTTTTGGGGGTCATATTTTGAAAACAATAAGTATTTGGTTTATTGTATTCCTAGAGTTGAGAAAGGTGGTCACTGAGAAATGTCTTGTCAAAGCGGATTGTATGCTGTGTCTGGGCTCTCAGATAAGTGTGTGCTTTCTTTGGAACCTATAAACATAACAGACACATTGAATATATACTTCCTTGTGGAAATTGCAACAAACTTGCTTTCTTTGATGTGAAATAGTTACAGAACATGGCTTTAGTTACTGGACTCTGATGGAAAGTGCATCCAGACTATTTTATAGAAGTATAAAAACTAGCAACTAGTAAACCTAACAGTTTATAGACATATTTTTTTCCTGCAAGAATTAACAGTGCTTTATACTGAGGAGTGGTGTTGATGGATACAGTAAAAAGGAGGACTTTGCCTGATTCCCACCTCCGCTAACCCTCTCATTGAAGCAGATCCCTGAATTCTAGAAAGGAAAATATACATACCTTCAAATACTATCAGGGATTAGCCAGTTTAAAAAAATCACCTGGGCCGGGTGTGGTGGCTCACGCCTGTAATCCCAGCACTTTTGGGAGGCCGAGGCAGGCGGATCACGAGGTTAGGAGATCCAGACCACTGTGAAACCCCATCTCTACTAAAAATACAAAAAAAAATCAGCCGGGTGCGGTGGCGGGCGCCTGTAGTCCCAGCTACGCGGGAGGCGGAGGCAGGAGAATGGCGTGAACCTGGGAGGTGGAGCTTGCAGTGAGCTGAGATCGCACCACTGCACTCCAGCCTGGGTGACAGAGTGAGACTCCGTCTCAAAAAAAAAAAAAAAAAAAGAAAAAAAAAATCACCTGATGCCACCTGAGAACCCCTGGCCCTTCTCCACCCTGGGGCAGGGGTGTATGCATGGGAGTAGGGGAGTTGAACTTGCTTCTTTGGGAGAGTTGAATCTGGTGGCTGAGCACGGAGCTTCTCAAAAGAAAGGATTTATAGACAAACTGCAGTAGGAAAGTATGTTCAGTCAACTCTCCCACAGTTTTTAACTTTTGAATTTGTCTAAAATTAATGAAGCTTTGAAAAATCAATAAAGAAGCAAAGTCAGATTGTGCCCAAGATTTATATGAAGCTGGTTTTTGGTGGATCTCTTTGACTCTAGGGAGGGAAAGTTTTCCATTGCAAAAAGCAATGCTCTTAAACTGGTATAGATCCAGTTTTGCCCTGCCCTATGCCCCGTCTCTGATTTTTGAGCTAGTGATTACCTTGGAAGAAAATTCATGAATGCAAAGCAGCTTTGATTAAAAATGAGCCATTATCAAAGAGAATACTGTGGTTTTGGAAAGTACAGTTCAAAGAAGAGATTTTGGGATGGAAATAATTTATGTAGTATTTTGATCCATTGAATATTCTCACTTTTTCCTTCTTGTGACACCATTGTAAACAGTGTCCTTGACAGAAGAGAAACACAAACAGGTCTCTTAAGTGATTTCTTTCTAGTTCATCCTGAGAGCCCAGTTGAGCTTCCTGACTCACAGTCTAGAGCTGCTTCCATGATAAAGACTGAAGGAGCGGTGAGTCATTTTTTAAAGTCAGCTGATTTATGGGGATGTTGTTGTTTTGGCAAAACTAACTCAAGTGATCTCTCGAGATTTTGCTGGATTTTATACCATACCGTGAAAAGATATTCCATAGCTGGATTTACACTCTTGAAAATGGGGTTTTTGTGCGTGCTGCATCTAAAAATTTTAAATTTCAATTACATTCAGGAATAAAATATTATGGATGAGAGAGAAATCTACTTTTTCATCTTGGTTCTGTCATTTATTTCTTGTGAGCCTCCAAATCTATTTTTTACATAATACCTGTAAGAGAGAGGAGTTATAAAGCTGGTTTGTTAACTGTTGCTTTGAGGTATATATAAACTTAGTTTTCTGTTAGCAAACTTCTCCATTTCATTTCTTGTTTTTTTTTTTTTTTGTATAACTATACATATTTTAGTAGAGATGGGGTTTTCAACATCTTGGCCAGGCTGGTCTCGAACTCCTGACATCAGGTTTCTTTTCCAAGATAGGCAAATAAACTTATTCTAATTCTGTATGTGAGATATAGTGGAAATACAATATGCACCTCTAGGACAAAGTTTCTTGGAGACATGCTTCTTGGCTCAGAAATAGAAACATATAGTGAGGCTAAGTATAATCTCTTTGTTGTGGTTGGTTCAGTTACGTTTTATTGATATAGAGTGAGTACATAACTTTTACGGGTTAAATGATTACCAATCGTTTTTACTTAAATGTAAAAACTGGGGGAGCTGAAGTAGTATTTTCTGTCTCCTTCAGATGGTCCTCAATTCATTTTATTATGAATATAAAGTGTTCATTTGCTCATTTGCTCAAAATAACACAGCAGGTAGAATGCACAGTGTCTTGCTCAAGTACAAATGTATCAGATGAACTTTAGATTTACACTTCAGGAGAAAATATGTATAACTTTTGGTGCTAATGCCCCAGGGAACTAAAAGTAAAGATTAACTTTAAAACCATGCAAATTGCTGACTTTCTGTGTCTTGGCAGTGATCAGTGTTGAGAATCCCTCCCCTGTGCAAACTTTTTCCTTTTCTTATCTGTTCACAGTGAGTTAAAGCTTAACCTGATGGCCACAGAGCCAACAGACCTGGCATCTTGAAAGTCTTGTTCTCTGCTGAATGTCTGTTTTCTTGTGTTAGTTTATTGGCTTTGTTTTTAATTTAACCAGATTGAACTGCTATCAAGTTCTTTTTTTTTTTTTTTTTTTTTTTTTTGGGAGACGGAGTTTCGCTCTTGTTGCCCAGGCTGGAGTGCAATGGTGCGATCTCGGCTCACAGCAACCTCTGCCTCCTGGGTTCAAGCCATTCTGCCTCAGCCTCCGGAGTAGCTGGGAATACAGGCATGCTCCACCAAGCCCGGCTAATTTTGTATTTTTAGTAGAGATGGGGTTTCTCCATGTTGGTCAGGATGGTCTCGAACTCCAGACCTCAGGTGATCCTCCCGCCTCGGCCTCCCAAAGTGCTGGGATTACAGGCGTGAGCCACCCTGTCCGGCTGAACTGCTATCAAGTTCTTAAGGCTATTGCTGGGAGCAGTAATTTGGTGACAGATTTAATATATTAAGAGAAAATCCCAGGGGTAAACATCTTATCTAAAGGAACTCAAGCAGACAAAGGGTAAAATATTTTTATTGACACCTAGATTGTCTTTATTTCGGTATGTTTTCAAAGGGCACTCACTGTTTGACTGCATTCTAAAAAGTACCAAGAATTGTTTTTCCTCCGTGGTGGCTCATATGGGTGAGGGCTTGGAGACCTGCAGGCCACATGATCCTTTATTTTGGTGGGCTGGGGAAGAGTTAAGGCTGTGATGAAGATCTTACCTTTTTTTTTTTTTTTTTTAAGTATTGCTTACTGCTGGATTGGCAACTAAACAAATAAAAAGTAAAAGGCTATTTTAGGGGCAATATGGTCATATGAGGTTCAGGGTTCTCAAACTTGATTAGACACAAAAATCACCGTGGGTGCTTGTTAGTATGCAGATTCTGCTCCCCCTCCCCCAGAGATTCTGAATGGACAGGTTCTGGGTGGAGCTCTGCTGTCTGTAAGGCCAGGGGCGCAGGTACCATGCTTTGTGAGATGGTGCATGTGTGAGTGAGAGAGATCATATAAACCATGTTGTATGATGCTATTAAATTTTGATATCATATATGCTTATAAATACACATTTTTCCCCTCCTATTGAAACAGACTGGAGGTTGGTAGAGAAGGTGGATATCTACGTCCATAAAATTTATCCTTATATTACAAACTGTTGGTTGAAATATCCAAATGCGTCTGTGTTAAAAAAAAAATTAAAAGATACCAAGAAGCAATTCCCAGTGTTTGATCATACAGCACCTTCCCAAGAATTGTTTCTTCTCAAGGAGCAGGGTATTTAATTTACTTTTTTCCATGCGTTGTGGGCTCCCTCCCCAGTTAGAGTTAACTGCTAAGTATCTCTCTCTCTACCACACACAGCCCAGTTTACCAGGTGGCAGTTGTTTTTGTTCCCAGGGAAAAGTTAAAATGGTGTGAATTGGTCAGTTTTGTCCAAACTTTGTGAAACCGAAATGAAAGTTTTGTTTTTTAAGAAAAGCTTTGCCTAGGGGTACTGCTGAACAAATAATGTTCAACAAGACATTTTAAATGGAACTCCTACTGGGAAGTAAATGTTAAAATTATAGCAGATGTCACTTCCTGTAACAAAATTCAGGAAACAGTCTTTGGTATGTGGGTGTTGTAACTTTTCAATTTTTGGAACTTTCCTTCAGGAAACTGTCCTGTCAGAAGCAAAGCAGTCAATAAAATATGAAGCACAACTTAAACTATGTTATACAGTGTAATTAAATTTTGATTTGGTGCATATGTTTTTGTGGTCAAGACAGACCCAAGATTATCACGTGACTTTCATCCTGGATAATGTAAGTCTGGATAACTTGTTAAATTGCTTCTCCCCCACTTCTCCCATTCTGGTTACTTTAAAAATACAGGTGTATCTGATTTACTCTGGACTTGAATTTATGGAAAGTGGTATAAAATTAATTAGTTCTCATTGTTTTGTACAAAACTATGAAACCTGTTTCCTCCCTAGCTTTGCAGAAATTTTGTCTCAATTGACAAACTGTCTACCTTAGACATTTCTAAGATGGCCTATTTAGTAAGTTGGTAGCTTTGAGCTTTGATAAAAGTTTGAGTCCATGATATTATGGTTTAAGAAAATTTTTCCTTAAAGGAAAACAGAACGTGTTATTGAGTTAATATTGCTGGGTTTTAGTTGTTGTTTATTTGCTGAAAGGATAGTCATTGGTATAAAGTAAGCTAAAGCTCTGTCCTTTTATATTTTTTCAGGTAATTTTGACCTAGCAATTACAGCTATAGGAATGTTTTCCTGTTACTCATTTACAGTCTGTGTCTCCCTCTCCCCTCCAGCCTCCTTTTAGAGTTAAGACGGTGCTAACTCTCCATTTAAAAAAGTGTGTAAAAAATAAACTTTGTACCACAGGGGAAAAATTAGGCAGTAACATTTACTGGCATTAGAATAGCAAAAGGATAAAATGAAACCTAGTGTATTACCTTAATACATAATTGAGGTTTTGCAACCTAAAAATATTGGAAAGAATTATTAATGTTGTTCAGATTGTCTGCTTATCTTGTGACTTGGTTTTAGTAAAATTCAAAGTGCCACTGGAACTTAGTTTTTGTTTTTAAATGGGAACTATGCCCAGAAGATGAAAAGTCCTAGGTTGGCAGTTAGATTGAATTTGATAATTCTGTCACTGCTGATGGTGTGAGTTTTTTATTTGTTCTTACCCTTAGGGCAGGGAGGGGCCTCCTCTTAAAAACACCTTCATTTCTTTCTTATTTTAGCAGTCATGTTTCTTTAAGGGTAAAGTAAAAATCATTAGGTTTACTTAATTCTGAGTTTAAATTTGTAGGCTTTATAAAAATTCTTGACAGTTTATGATAAGCCTAGCATAAAACTTCGTTTTCTCTCTGAGGTCACTCGTATTCTGTGTTGACATCCTTAAAGTATTGGTATTATCCATGATCTTAGAGTGTTTTAAAGAATGAAGAAGTCGGGCGTGGTCGCTCATGCCTGTAATCCCAGCACTCTGGGAGGCCCAGGCAGGCGGATCACCTGAGGTCAGGAGTTTGAGAGCAGCCTGGTCAACATGGTGAAACCTCGTCTCTACTAAAAATACAAACATTAGCTGGGCGTAGTGGCAGGTGCCTGTAATCCCAGCTACTCGGGAGGCTGAGGCAGGAGAATTGCTTGAACTCGGGAGGTGGAGGTTGCAGTTAGCCAAGATCATGCCGTTGCACTCCAGCCTGGGCGATCTTTTGGTAGCTTGGTGTAAATGACCTTTTGTGGGGAAAGAGGGAAGAGGGGAATAGTTAAATTGAATCGAGGTACGTTCCTTGTCACCCAGATCTTTTATATCTTTTGTTATATCTCATTTTATGGGTATTTCTTCCCAGCCCAAGTTTTTGTAAAAGTGATTTTATTCGAGGTCAGGAGATCAAGACCATCCTGACTAACACAGTGAAACCCCGTCTCTACTGAAAATACAAAAAAATTAGCCAGACGTGGTGGCGGGCGCCTGTAGTCCCAGCTACTCGGGAGACTGAGGCAGGAGAATGGCATAAACCTGGGAGGGCGGAGCTTGCAGTGAGCGGAGATTGCGCCACTGCACTCCAGCCTGGGTGACAGAGTCAGACTCTGTCTCAAAAAAAAAAAAAAAGTGATTTTATTGAAGTCTATTTTATATATCATAAAATTCACTCATGTCAAGTGACAACTCAGTAATGTTTAGTTACTTTACTGAATGGAGCGACCAGTTTTAGAACATTTTATCCCATACCTGGTAAGATCCCTCCTGCCCATTTACAGTTAATCCCGGTCCCCAGCCCCACCACCATAACCTACTTTCTGTCTCTGTAAATATGCCTTTTCTGGGCATTTCACATAGTGGAATCATAAATGGAGTATGATGGTTTCTTGCATCTGACTCTCTTTACTTGCATATGTATATATATTTTAAATTTACCAGCCTCAGCACATTCTGGCCATACTTGAATAATTTTTTGAGGTTCATCTGTGGTGTACCATGTATCAGTGGTTCTATCCTTTTATTACTGAATAGTATTCTGTTAATAGATGTGATGGACAGGTTGTCCCAATTTTTTAAAAAATTGTGAATAATGTTGCTGTGAACATTTACATACAAGACTTTGGACATATATATATGTGTGTGTGTGTATGTGTATATATATGTGTTTTTTTTTTTTTTTTTTTTGGTTGGATAGCTGAAGGTGGAATTTCTGGGTCCTATGATAGTTTTTTGTTTGACTTTTTGAGAAAATGCCAAACAGTTTTTCAAACTATATGCCTAGCCTAACTTTGAACTGATCTAATTTAGTCAATTTCTTGCAAATTGTTTGCTATCTTCATAGTTATTTGGGCTATGAAAGTAGTGGTTCTGAGATCTGATCAATTTTGCATTTGATTATTAGAAAATTATATATTGTTTTCAATTTATATGTGATCTTAAAACACCGCTCATTTTCCCCCATATACAGTTCTTTATTGTATTTTGTAAATTGGGCTTTTCGATGAAGAAATTCATATCGAGGAATGTTTAAAGAAAGCCAAATTAAGTTTAAAATGCCAATGCATGCTGATTATTGTCAAAGTAGTAAAGAAAACTCCAACTCCACAACTCATAAACCCCTCAAATAGCAGAATTTAAATATATTATTTGTTAAGTAGAAATCCTTTATTTTATAATTGCAAAATGGCCCTATAAATTGTTATTTCAATGTGCATTTTAAATAAAAGCGTTCGGGCAAAAATGCGCTGTTCTCATTCACTAGAGCCTCACATGCAAAGATAAGTTATCTAAGTGAAGCGTCTGGAAATTATCGTTCAGACTTGGGTCCTGCCTGGGGAAGGTGGTGACTATGTGCCCTCCCTTGATGGTGTACTCCGACTTCAGTTAAAGATAGATCTGTTGCACAAACAAAAATGTTTCATGAAATGCTCTGAAAGTATCTTTAGGGGCATGTGTGACGTTAGTGAAAATGAATCATCTTTTTAGCATTCAGTCGTTCTATTTAAAAAAAAAAAAGCTGTGAGGCTCTGGCTAGAAGATGTCTTCATTTCTTCCTTTATGAGCCTTTCAAGTGTTCTTTCAACTTGGAGAGCCTCAATGCATTGTGGCAAGTTACTGAAATCTGCTGCTCTGCATATTAATTTACCTGCGTAAGAATTATATCAGTATCAACAGCTTTATGAATGTGGCCAATTCACACGCATTAAGTGTTTTTCATGTTATCTGTAAATGTATTGAGTACTTCATTGTTCACTAAGAGCCAACCATTGGTGTGTGCAGGGCTCTGAGTTGGTTTAGATAAATACACTGTCTCCCTCCCTACAAGGAGCTCATAGTTTGGTGGGAGAGACAGAAATAAGCAAACAAACTGACAAATAAAACAAGTGCAAATTGTGGAAACACAGTGGCAAAAAACAGGATACTGTGAGGGAATAATAGGGGGTGGGGAATTGGTCTTGGTGTGGGGCCAGGAGAACCTCTGAGGAGGGTTACCTGAGGCAGAGAAAGAGCAAGCCATGACACAGAGAAAGGTAATTGTCCTTCTAGAATGTACATGGAAGTAAGTGGTGATGGTGGTGAGAAGGATGGCTTTTTTTGAGACAGAATTTTGCTGTGTTGGCCACGCTGGAGTGCAGTGGCACCATCATGGCTCACTGCAACCTCCAAGGATGGCATTTTTAAACAGGGATAAAAATGTTAGGAAATGACCGTCATGTGGCAGTTTCTTGAAATAAAAATTTGATTGTTTTAGTGGTTTGTAGTTCTACCAAAACTTAGCCCTGTTTTTAATTTATTTTAATAAAGGCAAAGTGAGTACCATAACAACCTAGCTATGAACTTTAAAATAGAGACTATAGTTTCTAAAACTTAGGCTTAATTGGCACATAAATGTAAACACATTAAACAAGTGTTGAAAAGAAATTCGAGAGGACATTTTTCTTTGGGAGCCATCAAATAAGGGATGTGGTAGAATTTAGAAAGGCCCCCAGGTCAGTGAGGTACAGTTATAAGGAAGTGAAGATTTAGACAGTAAGGAGGGCATTCCACCTGGCTATTAAATATAAAGGTTAATTTACAAAACAACCTTTTGTATGTGTGAAGGACTGTTATGGGAAGTGGGGTGAAAGATGGTCTCTATCTCTGCCAAAAATAGATCTTGAAGAGATAAATAGCAAAGCCCATGAAGGAAAACACAGAAGTGGTGTTCTTTTTTATATATTTAGCAATAGGAAATAATCTTCTGCCTTGGATAGTTTAGGAAGTAGCAGATGGTTTAAGTACCAGTGATATTATGATTATATATTGGTTTTCGTCCATGGTTCCTGGCCCATAACTCCCACAGTCCTTGTTAGTCTTTTGTTATAATGGTGGGGCACTTTAGGCCTCAGGAGACAGAATCTCTCTGTGACCTTCTCTTATCTTCCTTTCACTTGCCCAAGGCAGGACTCTAATCTAATTGTAAGTCTAAAGACTTTTATTCCAGAGAGTTCCTGCCCCATACTCTGGAGGAAGGAATGCTGTACAGAGAGGCCAAGAAAAATCTGAACTGAAGGGTGTTGGTTGATTTAGATCATACCCTTTTTGTCCAGTCACATTTCTACATGGTTGTCAATCTTGCCTACACTATGAAGTCTTCATAAAAGGCCCAAGAGGACTGGGTCTCCAGAGAGCTTCTGGATAGCTGAGCATGTGGAGGTTTAGGGAGAGTGGTGTGCCCAGGGAGGGCATGGAAGCACCACGCCCCTTCCCCCATATCTCACCTTACACATCTCTTCATCTGTGTGCTTTGTAATGTCCTTTACAATAAACCGTTAAACGTTAAGTAGGTGTTTCCTTGAGTTCTGTGAGCCACTCCAGCAAATTAATTGAAACCGTGGGATCCCAACTTGAAACCAGTCTATCAGAAGTTCTGGAGGTCCAGACCTGTGACTGGTGTCTGAAGGGGTCGGGGGGGGGCAGTCTTGGGGACTGAGCCCTCAACCTGTGGGATCTGACTCCATCTCCAGGTAGTTGTGTAGATAGTAGGAAAATCTCCTCCTCCCACGTTTGATCACAGAAGTCTTCTGTGTTGACGATTGTTGTGTGAGAGCAGAGGAAAAACACAGAATTTTTTGAAAACAGCACCTTTTTCTCAAGGGATTCTGTGGCTTCTTGAAAAAATGTGATCACAATAAACTACTGTAGGAACTGAAAGTTTTTGTCCTTTGTGTATCACAGCTATATTTAATTACATAAAGTTGCTTCAAAGATCTGCATTCATTATCACCTCATCTCTTTTGTACTTCTCTTCACAGTTATTTTCAAATGAATGTATTGAGTTATAGACCTTTGTGGCATAATGATTGCTTTTATGAATGTTTCACGACCATGTAAGAAAGAACGTATTTGCTTTATTTTCAGAGTCCAGAGATAAATGTGGTTTTGTATCTTATTTCTGTATTCTTATTTTGTCTGTTTGATCTGCCATGGACTAAGAGATGAATAAAAGCCTCATATGAGTACACTGCTATCTTAAGTTTCTTTGCAAATGTTGATGCCATGTTTTTGTTTTGTTTTGTTTTGTTTCAGATGGAGTCTTGCTCTGTTGCCCAGGCTGGAGTGCAGTGGCGCAATTTCGGCTCACTGTAACCTCCACCTCCTGGGTTCAAGGGATTCTCCTGCCTCAGCCTCCTGAGTAGCTGGGACTACAGGCACGTGCCAACATGTCCGGCTAATTTTTTGTATTTTTAGTGGAGACAGGGTTTCACTGTGTTAGCCAGGATGTTCTCAGTCTCCTGACCTCATGATCCGCCTGCCTCAGCCTCTCAAAATGCTGGGATTACAGGCGGGATTACCATGCCCAGTAATGCCATGTTTTTGATGCACAGGTAGTCATCATTGTTAACGTCGTCTTTTCAAATTGTCCTGTTTGGCAATATTAGTTTTTAATGTATTCTTCCAGAAGGTTTCTTTGAGTATAGGTGATATTTCTTAAAAAGATGTGTATCTTTTAATATATTCTGCATGCGGATTTTATTTTGGTTTAAGGAGTGATGGAAGATTTCTGAACCCTTCCTCTCTTCCCCAAGACTCACCATTCTGTTCTCTATATTTAAGCGCCATCATCAAATTCACTGTACCTTTGTATGCGTTTTAATATATGATCGGGCTGATTGCCCTTCTTTACCCTTCTGAGGTGCACTCTCAGAATTTTTGTGGCTGTTTTCTCATGTAATTTTTCTGAGTCTTCTGTCAAACAACTTGGGGCCTTGTAATAGGATGACTTCCTAACAAATTTGTAAAACCTCATCCTGTTTTTCAGAAGTACTAAAGTTTTAAATGGATTACCGTGTTCTTTGTAGATTTTCATGGAATGGGAAAGGCTAAAGTAGAGGGCCAGGGACTCCTGAGTCACTCACCAGACACCACTCATTTATCTTGGAGACATTAGGGAAATCCTGTTTGCCTCAGTTTATCCAGAAGTAAAAATGTACATTTGCTCTTGTCATAAATGAATGTATTTTTAATGTAACTCTGTAAGAGTGGAATCATATTTCTATAGGTGATTTACATCTGGCTTTAGGCAGAAGCAGTGTTTCACAGTATCATTGTTTCTGTGGATAGTATCCCACTTTCTGGCAGACTTGATTGAATCAGTATGCCTTGGAAATAATAGATGTAATTTAGGCTCTTTAGAATCTTTTTTTGTAGTTCAGTAAAACAAAACTAATTGTAAGTTAATTGTAATTAAAAGAGAAATGTCTTCCTGAATCTCAGTAATTTGTCTAAACATTTTCTTTTTGTTCCCTTTCAATCTTTTATTTATGCATTAAATTTTTTCACATTGTTGACTTATTCTTTATGTGTGTTTGATAAGTGATTTAGTCAACACATAGGGGAAAAAGGGGTTGGGATTACTTTAGACTGTTATGATTTTTGAGATTGTCATTTTGAAGAGGAACAGATAAATCTTTCACATCTTTATGCTTAGAAATGCCATGCTAGGGCGGGCGCAGTGGCACGCGCCTGTAATCTCAGCACTTTGGGAGGCCGAGGCCAGCGGATCACCTGAGGTCAGGAGTTTGAGACCAGCCTAGCTGACATGGTGAAACTCCATCTCTACTAAAAATACAAAAAAATTAGCCAGGCGTGGTGGCGGGTGCCTGTAATCCCAGCTACTTGGGAGACTGAGGTGGGAGAATGTCTTGAACCTGGGAGGCAGAGGTTTCGGTGAGCCGAGATCGTGCCACTGCACTCTGGCCTGGGCGTGACACAGCGAGACTCCATCTCAAAAAAAAAAAAAAAAAAAAAAATGCCATGCTAAAAACACTTTTAAAAGTCAAAAATAGCCCAGTTAACATTGACTAAAGCAAGGTGTTATTTTATACATTGTGCTAGGAGCCAAGGTAGTTAACAGAGATATTAACACACTGACACTTAGGTTTAGTAGATGTTCCAGTCTGTTCATGATGCTGGTGATGGAAAGTATTACTGAACACCATACTTAAAAGCTTTACCCATTCATATTTATTTGTAAGACTGTGGTAGCTGAAGAAAAACTAGTATAGCCCACAAAATCCAAATAAATCAAGGACCCCTCTACGATGTTTTCTTCCCGTGCTTACAGATATATATATATATATATATATATATATATATATATATATCTATCTATATCTATCTGTGTGTATATATATCTGTGTGTGTATATATATGTGCGTGTATATATGTGTGTGTATATATATGTGTGTGTATATATATGTGTGTGTATGTATATCTGTGTGTATATATATATCTGTGTGTATATATGTATATATATCTGTGTGTGTGTATATATATATAATATCATGTGTGTGTATATATATACATATCACGTGTGTGTATATATATGCACACACACACACGAATGTTAGCAAAGAACCCAAGCATTGCCTCAATAAGTAACGTTAGAATCATACATCCAAGCCAAAATCTTTATTTATTTTATTTTTAATTTATTTATTTAATATAGATGGAGTCTCTGTTGCCCAGACTGGAGTGTAGTGGTGTGATCATAGCTTACCGCAGCATTAGACTCCTGGACTCAAGTGATCCTCTTGCCTCACCCTCCCGAGTAGCTGGGACTACAGGCAGGCACACACCACCATGCCCAGCTAATTTTTAATTTTTTTTTGTAGAGATGGGGTCTTTCTTTGTTGTTCAGGCTGGTCTTGAACTCAGGTGATCCTACCACTTTGGGTTCTCAAAGTGCTGGGATTAAAGGTGTAAGCCACTGTGCCCAGCAGACTGAAATCATTTTATAACTGTGCTTTTCAATGTTATCTTAAAATTAGCTGGGGAAGAATTCTGTTTAGTTTTTGTTTTTTGGTGTCAGTCTCATTTAAAAATTGACAAGGAAATGAATGGATTTGTGGTAACTGCCTTTTAACTTTGTAAATTTTAACCTAATGTATGTTTAAATTATCAGAAATAGAAAATTCAGATACTTCTATACTTACTGACTTATTATAAAAACTGTGCCTAAACTGAAGGACAGAACCACTTAAATTATTCATTTATTTGAGAAGAAATTTTCTATTTTAATTCAACAATGACTTTTTTCACTATATTTTCATGGTTGAACTGGCTAGAGTGGGTAGTTATTTCAATAGGTGTTGGAAATTAAAAAAAGTGTAGATAGTTTCCAGTTTACTGATTTTCTTCCAAAAATGTGTTTGGGACATAGAAAATGTTTTGCAGAAGCAGCAAGGAAAATCATGTGATGAAGGTTAGGCCCTAGGCTAGAGCCAGAATGTTTCTTAACTTGTGCCAAAATGTCCAACATTTGGAATAATAATGGCAAACGGTGCAATCACTGAAATAAAGCATGAAAACCATGCTTAAACAAGAGGGTTCGTTCTATACTTGTGTTAGCTTTTAGCTTTAGGGGGTTTTGTGGATGGAGAAAGAGGAGTGGTGTAAGGGATCTTTAAGATTACTTGGAGGAGACTGGAAAAAATGGATTCTTTGGGGCAGGGGCATTTCCACTGGTAAACCTGGGCACTTTTAAGGACAGAGGATTATGTATAATTTTGATCTATGGTAATAGCAGTCTTTTATTAAGCAATTATTTATTGAGCATTCTGTTATGTTCTGATCTCTGAACCAGGAACTTTGCAAAATGGTATCATTTAATCTGCAAGGCAGAGCTTATCACTGCCATTATACAGATAAACTGAGGCTCATGGCAAGTGACGGCTGATACACAGCTTCAGATCTACTCCAGACTTACATGTAAATGTCTCCTTGCCCTTCATACATATATCCATGTGGCCAGTGACCCATGATTTACTGGTGGAGCAAAGGAAGGCATAGAAAATGGAATATGGGTGGGGTGTCTGTTTATCTCTAAACTGAGCTATAACTGAAACAAAAAAAGAGGATGAGAGTAGGGAAACATGGTATGTGTAAAATTCCTCTCAGAGTGAAGAAATGTGAGGTCAGTGTTTCCCAGCGTTAGCCTCTGGGAAGTAAGTGCCTTTTCTCCAGCTTGGTTACTGCATGGGGAATTTGGAGAGAGATGGTAGGGTATTTGTAACTTGGGGAACTCCAGCAATATTTGGGACAGGGGATGTATGTGGATGGAACCTTTTTGTATAAAAGATGTGAAATCCCTTTTACCCTTCATCCTCCTTTAGGATCCTGCTTTTTTTTGAGTCAGAGTCTTGTTCTGTCTTCCGAGGCTGGAGTACAGTGGCGCTATCTGTTCACTGCAACCTCTGCCTCCTGGGTTCAAGCAATTCTCCTGCCTCAGCCTCCTGAGGCTGGGATTACAGGTGCCCACCACCACGCCTGGCTAATTTATTTATTTATTTTTTAGTAGAGATGGAGTTTCACCATGTTGGCCAGGCTGGTCTCAAGCTCCTGGACTCAAGTGATCCACCCGCCTCGGCCTCCCAAAGTGTTGGGATCACAGGCGTGAGCCACTGCGCCCAGCCCCGATCCTGATCCCTATCCTGCTTCTTTAGAAAAAACTGATGTTTAGAATAAAACATTTTTCCACCCCTTCATTTTTAGTGTGAAATGCATGCATCCCTTCACCTCTGCTGTGAGATACCACATTTTATGCCATCCTTGGGATCCCCTTTTTTCACAAGGTTCTCTTATCCTGCTCCATAGGCTGCCAGCTCTAGTGACCATCTATTGTGTTTAGTATTGAGTTATCTCCCTTTTTAGGGAGGAAAGGGATGTAATGGGAGAGGCATAGGCAGAATGCAGGAAGGGGCACCAAAGCCTGTGCTCCTTTGCCAGCACTTGGACTCCAGCTGTGTATATTCATTAATAATGACTCACAGTTATTGAACACTAGGCACTGGGCTCAGCACTATGTCTGCATTAGTTAATGTAATTATTACAACAGCCCAAAACTTTTTGGTACAATTCTCATCTCTATTTTAGAGAGGACGAAACTAAGGCTTAGAGAGTGTATGGCTTGTCCTGTTGGCTGTACCTGGCAGTGACAGCATCTCAGACGTGCCGGTCATAAATGTAGCCATTGGCAAAGATTTCCCATGTCAGTTCCTTCCGTCCTGCATTATTGTGGTGGCTGCTATCCCAGTAGAGAAGTAACACAGTGACTTTGGGAATATTTCTCATTCTCTACAGGGGTGGTTCTCCACAGGGGAGGAGATTTTACCCTTCCCTATCCCGGGGATATTTGGCAATGTCTGGAGACAGATATGGCTGTCACGCCTGGGAGGGGGGTGTGCTACCATCATCTCAGATAGAGGCTAGGGATGCTGCTAACGTCCTGCAATACACAGGACAGCCCCACCCTAAGAATTACCTGGCCCCAAGTGTCAATAGTGGAGAACTCTCGCTCTGCAGGTTTCGCCTAGTTCCTATGCATGGGGATGTTTGTGTTTCCGAGAGCGTCTGTACATTGTCATCAGACCCTAAATCATGCTGGCCCCAGGTGTCAGTTACTTGACCTGTATTTGCTTAGGACACAGTATGTGCAAGACACTCCTGGGTGCTCTGTGGGTTACACAGCCTTACTCTACCCCTCACCACCATGTTTAGTGAGTAAATGATTTACCCAAAGAACCACAGTTAGGAAGTGGCAGAGCCTAGGTCTGAATCCTTCACTAACTCCAGAGACCATGCTTTTTTTTTTTTTTTTTTGCGTGGTGGTGCATGCCTGTAAGGCTGAGGCAGGAGAATTGCTTGAACCCGGGAGGTGGAGGTTGCAGTGAGCTGACACCATGCCATTGCACTCCAGCCTGGGCAACAAGAGTGAAACTCTGTCTCAAAATAAATAAATAGGTAAATAAATAAAATTAAAAATTTGCCATGCACACCCAGCTAATTTTTGTACTTTTAGTAGAGATGGGGTTTTGCCATGTTGGCCAGGCTGGTCTTTGAACCCTTGACTTCAAGCGATCCTCCTGCCTCGGCCTCCCAAATTGCTGGGATTACAGGTGTGAGCCACCATGCCCTGCTGAGACCATTCCCTGTACTCGTTTACTGTGATGGTAACCAAAATGTTCCATCGTGTGGCATGTTGCTGAGCCTCCTCTCTGCCTCCTTCAGTTTCAACAAAGTCGTGGCAGGAGACTGACAAACAGCAGTCTCTGTGTGGGGACCTTGAGTGGCCATCCAGTTGCTCTGTAGTAGGAAGTGGTAGGGAAGTTGGAGGTGAGGAGGGCCCGTTAGTAGGGAACTGAGGCCAGACTTCTAAAAGAGCAAGGAAAGAATTTCGAATGACATGGTTCCTCAGCATGTCTGCAGGGAGGAGGTTTATTGCAGCAGCATTTAGAACTAGCTCAGAGGAGAAATAATGGGCGAAGGGAGATTGGTACATATAAGGTAATACCTATTGTATTACAGATTTACTTATGTAAAATGCTTTTCTAAAATCTGGTTCTCTCGTATTTTATATACCAGATGTAACTCAAACTAGATGAAATAGAACCATAGACTCAATCCTTCCTAAAAGCTCAAGGCTTTCTGGCTTGGTAATTTTGTGGGGAAGCACTTGCAGGAAAAACACTTTGAAATATGAAGAAGGAAATGTGATTCCGGTGGTTTCTTTATAGGCCCTAAATCAGTACAGGAAGAAATAGGACAAGAACCAGAGAAGATTAACTTTCTGAAACTTTACAAACAGCCTAATTCCCAAGTAGAGAAAAGTATATTTTAAAGAATGAATACTGGGGGAGGAAATGAGGGAAGGTGAATTAAGCCTTCACAGTGGCTGCTAAGGAGATTACCCTGAAAACTTCCCAGGTGGGAATCTGAAACTTACTTCTACAAATGTATGCATGTGTCTCTACTAGATTGCTTGTAGTTTCCCAGTAGAGCAAAAAGCAGAAGCCAGAGAAAGATTTGAAGGTGTTAGGTAAGTGCTCTAGTTTTGCTTGGCGTGCATGCACGGATACACATGTAACATGCACACTTCTGCTATTTCAGTTCTGCTGACAGCTGATGAAATCATGTGTCTCACAAGTTTAGGACCACTCTTGAGTTCCTTTCCTTCCAAAGATTTGCTATAATATTTCATAGATAAATTTGTGCTTCCAAATTACTCCTTTCTGCTAAAATCTGAGATTTAACCAGAAGCCTGTAAATACCCTAGAGGAGAGAGGAGAGTCTGTTGGAAAAATGTGGGGCACACAACGATCCTACCACAGTGTTTTGACCAAATTTAATAGTTTATTCTTGTGGTTATTTTTTCTAACATTATGAACATTTTCAAACATTCAGAAAAGTTTAATGAATTTCACAGTAAAAAGCCTTATTCTCAGATTATAAGTACATATTAAATAGTCCTAATTCAAAATCCTAAACATTCCAAAATCTGAAACTTTTTGTTGTTGTTGCTGTTGGGTTTTTTTTTTTTTTTTTTTTTTTTGAGGTGAGTCTCACTGTCGCCCAGACTGGAGTGCAGTGGTGTGATCAATGCAGTGGCCCATTGCAACCTCTGCCTCCTGGGGTTCAAGTGATTCTCCTGCCTCAGCCTCCCAAGTAGGTGGGATTACAGGCGTGCACCACCAGGCCTGGCTACAAAATCTGAAACTTTTTGAGTGATGACATGACACTCTAAGGAAGTGCTTATTGGAGCATTTTATTTTTCAGATTTTAAGATTAGTAGTGCTAAATGCCAGTGTTCCAAAATCCAAAAAAAAGAAAAAAAATTGAAACCCAAAACACTTAAGGTCCCAAGCATTTCAGATAAAGGGATACCCAGTCTGTATTAACATTTTATTTTACTTGCATTACCATATATTCATCTCTTTGTTGCTGTGTCCATCCATTAATGTATTTTTATACTTCTTATATAAGTTGTGGGAGAGTATACTGTCCCGTAAATAGCTTGTATATCATTAAAGTTCAGTATTTTTTTTTACGTTTTTTTTTCTTTTGGTATAAAATGCAGTGAAAGGCACAAATTTTAAGTGTACTGGCCCATTTTGACAGTGCATGCATCTGTGTAACTCATACCCCTAGTAAGATTTGGAACTATTCTTAAGGTTATTTTTTGGTGTGTATCTGGGAAGATGATTAGAAGAAGAGTAAACAAACACGTAACCTGTTTTATTTTTCTTCCTCTCAGGGTGTCATTTCAATTTTTTAAAACCTGTTGGATGAGTTGTGTGTGCTTGATAATACCTCATTTTGTAGAGATTATTTAAATTCCTTGAGGTCTCAGACCAAAGCTCTTGGATTAAGGTACGTTTTTCTTCACCTAGGTTGTCTCTTGCTGAGAATTAAAGATAAATTTTTTAGAACCAGCCCTTCTCACACTGAAGGAAAGTGGAGACTCATGTCCATTTAAGACCTCCCCATTTTTGGGTAACAGTAAAATGCATGTGACAGAATATAACTATTACTAAATCATTCCCTGCCACTCTAGGAGTGCATTTATTAGAGAAATGCTAGGACTATTGGATTGTGTTCTTCCAGTGTTATGCTTTTGAAGTTGTGGGAAGGCAGGCGGATTGTCCCCAAAGGAGGTGCCCTTAGTTGATGTCTGTCATCCTACACAGGTGGGGTCTTTTATTTCATGGCCAGGGCTCTCAAAGGCTTCCTTTTGGCCACAATGAGAGAAATCTGGGGGTGAGTGAGTGTCCTCCCAGGTAAATTAATGGTGGGTCTGTAAATAACCAGGGGCCCCAGACTGAAATCGGGCAGGTTGTAATTTGTCAGATACCTGGATGCCTGTTACCTGTTTCTTTTTATTCTGTTATCCTCTAGCATTTGGTAAACTTTGATATAAATATTGTGGCCGTTTCTGAGCTACTTTATTGTAAGAGAATAGTTGGGAATCTGTGATTAGGCTAGAGTTATAAGGGGAAACAAGGTCTCCCTGAGTGCAGGTGGGGCATAGAGGTTTTAAATGGGAAGGAATAGGTGATAAGAATATGTAAGAGGTTCACTCTACCTCCATTTGAAGACAGAGGTTTAACGTTATGAAGACTGTCAACCTGTTTCCTCCTTACACTGTCAGCCTGACAGATGTCTTTTTATGTACGTAAAGGTATTCAGATCCAGCAGTGCATTCTCCCACCAGACTTTTGAAGAATCAGGACATTTGAGGAACATTAAGTTCTGACCTTTAATAGCAGCCACTGGCTTAATTCTTCATATTTTCCAAAAACCACACCCGCCTGCTGGAATAGATAGCACAGGGAAGTTGGATGGACTCCCTGTGCCTTGGGAGTTCTTACTCCCAGAGTGTCTCCTAGTGTTTCCTTTTGCTGTGCTGTGTCCCGTATATCCTGTCATTTCCATTTATTTTATCCTCAAATTATAAAGAATTGTAGTGTTAAGTCCGTTATTCACTTTAAGATGCAGCCAGAACAGTGACTGGAGTGGTTTCATACCTCATGGGTTTCCCACACTTCCATCAACACACACTTCACAACACCTTGGAGGCATTGTGAAAAGGTCAAGCTTTGGAGATGGGGAAGAGTCCTGAAGATGTTGGGTGACATTGTACAGTGAATGGAGGCTGCCTGCTTGGCACACTTTCCATCACACATCACATTTTGCTAATCTTTTGGAATAAGGGGGAAAGACATTTAAATGAGATAATTAGAGATAAGAATGGAGATTTTAATCTTTTCCCTGAAGTCAAGAAGGCAGATAAGGAGAAATTGCTGTCACTGAAAGACTGTATATTTTACAAGAAGTTATTTCAGAAGCAGTCTCTATTCCTTTAGGCTTTAAATGAACTTAAAAAAAAAAAAATCACCCCTTGTGTTTCTTACTAATTTAGGGACTAGTCCAGGGGTCAACAAACCTTTTCTGTGAAGGACCAGATGGTAAATATTTTAGGCTTTGCAGCCCACGCGGTTTATGTTGCACCTACTTAGCTCTGCTGTGGTGGGACCAAAGCATCCATAAACAATACGTAAGCAGATGAGGATCACTATGTTCCAATGAATCTTTATTTACAAAAATAGGTAGCTGGTCCAGATTTGGCCCATGAGCCATAGTTTGCCAATCCCTGGACTAGCCCATCCTTTTATTTCTTGCTAACTTTAAGGAACATTTTAAAGTTGAAATTTAAAGATTGGCCAGTGTTAAATATGAATGGTTAAAAAAATTCTCCCCCCTTTGCCGCTGGCAGTCTTACCCTTCTTTAATTTTACTTACAAGTCTGAAACACTGGTCTAAGCATGTCAGGAAATAAGCGAACAGTTTGGGGGTGGGAGTATGCAACTAAATATTCGTTTAAAACTTACACTGAGCTTTTTTTTTTTTCTTCCCCGTTCCATTTCACATTGTTAATGTTGGCTCAGCAAACAGAATGATATGTGGAAGTCTTGAAAACAGTGTAAAATCATTTGAATTAGGAGGTTAGGCCAGACTTCACAGCAAAGCTCTGTGTAACCAGCGTCCTGGTACTCTGTGCAGACCCAGTGCTGAGTGACTCGCATTCCCAAGATTGAGCCTCTTTTGGGCAATGAGGAGCAAAAGGGGTCTGGGAATGGTGATCGGTTTTGTTTGTGTGATCATCTGAGGCCCCAGTTGAGTGCATTTGCATTCTAAACTCCCACATCCACACTCGGTTCATTTCCCGAAAACTGACAGTTTTCCACGTGCACAGTAATTTGAGATCGTTGTTTCAGGCTGAGGAAAGCCCACAGGCCGTTGTCTGGGGTGGGGGTAGGAGGGTATTGCAGGCTCTGAAAGATAATTGAGGCACTCCAGACCAGTGGAGTGGGTGGCTGCAAGACGTTATCGTCCCCACAGAGTATCAGGCATGCTTTCGGACCCATCCTGTGAGAAATCTGAGTGGAGTAAGACGGATGCAAACACCCTATGGTGAATGATCACTCCCCTACAAACTTAAGTGCTGTCTTGGGGCGGAGGCCTCTTTCTCTCTTGGAAACTTCTGCTCATCATTCAAGATTCAGCTCAGATGTCCCTGTTCTTAATTAATTAAATCACCCCAGGCTCCTCCATTTAGAGTTCCTGTTTTTCTCCTTAGTCCTTTAGCACTTGTAATCAACCTCTACTATCACTCTTAGCATATGTTTTTTTTTTTTTCTTTTGTTCCTCCTCCTTCATTTGTGTATCTCGCTAAATTGTGGAATCCCTCACCTTTTTATCCCTAGGTCTAGCACATAAGAGGAAGTCAATGTTTACTGGAAATCAGGGGCTTTTCTGTTCTCATTCTGTGAGGCTTACAACCTTGAAGTACAGAAAGCCATAGATAAATGCATTCCTGTTCTCAACTTTGACGTAAATAATATTCAAAATACAATTCTGTTTTGAAGAAATTATTTTATAAACAGGTCTTATAAAATATAAATTGTCACAGTGTATCTGGTGGTAATGTTGAATGTTTCCTTATTGTTTACTTGCAGTGGATATATTAGTGTCTGCTTTTCAGAGAGTAGAAATGGAAACTTTACAGCCTTATCAAGAACTTAACATTATTAAGGACTCTAAAAATTCTCAAGTGTATGTCTTTCTTAATTACTTGAACTCTCAGATTCTAATTTTTAGCGTTGGCTGAAGGTTAGAGGGATGCTTTAAGATTGATAAATACCTTTTGTTTTATGCAAGTGAACTGCCTATTGGTAGTGATGGTGAAAAGATGATATATTCTGCATATAAATGTTGATAGCTGAGCCAAAATCCAGCCCAAAGAATCCTGACAAGCTTTGTAAGGCTCACAACACGGCTTAGCAGAGGTCAAATGAAGGGAGACTTCTGCAGAAAAACAATGACTTACTGTTTAGCTTTAAGGAGATGCCAATTATAGCGGGTAGTAGGAGGTGAGCTGGGGTTATGATGAAAATGAGAATATTTAGAAACATGTAACTGTTGCTTGTTACCATATAAAATACCAATAGATGTTTCCAGCTTTCTTCTCCTATAATAATCTCCCTGTTCTTCCTACTTGAAATGTCTGTGGAATGAAATGGAACAAAATGAAACTGCCTCTAGTTTTTATGACATTAAGCTTTCTTTCTGTAGAAACGAGTGTGGCGTGTGTAATTAAATAACCAAAGGGAAAGATAACCAAGATCAAGATATAAACAAAAGCGCTGATGGTTCTTTAAAAGCATTTGTATGGACAACTTATTCCTCCTTTTTTTGTTGTTGCTGTCTGCTTTGTGTAATATGCAAATAAGGTTAGGTATCTGCTTTGTAGTCCATGTGTTGTTTGCTAGGAGCCTAGAAAAAACTTCTCAGTTGTAGGAATTTTGTCTCTTTTTATGAATGTGTCCACAGCAGCCTGTTTAAAATGTAATTGACAGTGGTTTCTCCTTGTAGCAGTTGTTGATTGGGGGGTTGGAGGATCCTTGACATTTAATTTTGGATATACTCTCCCATGATAGAATGAGCTTGAAGTGGAGAGTGGAGGAGCCCTACAATTTTTTTTTGGTTTATTCAGTAATTGAAAAATGTGTTGATGGGTTCCTGTGTACTCAGTTCAACAATAAATGTTTCAAGCTGTGTGCAGGGGCTCACACCTGTAGTTCCAGCATTTTAGGAGGCCAAGGCAAGAGGATTGCTTGAGGCCAGGAGTTTGAGACCGACCTAGGCAACAAAGCAAGACCCCATCTCTACAAAAATACTTAAAAATTAGCTGGGCATGATGGTGCATGCCTGTAGTCCCAGCTACTCAGGAGGCTGAGGTGGGAGGATCCCTTGAGCCCAGAAGTTGGAGGCTGCAGCGAGCCATGATTGTGCCACTGCACTGGGTGATAGTGAGACCCTGTCTCAAAAAACAAAACAAGAATAAATGTTTTTTCTTTAGAGAAATAAATTGCATCTTGCCAGTTTCCTTAATATCCTGTTGTTCCCCACTGTTCTTATCAATACACAGACACTTTTCCTTTCATTTTCCAAGTGTAAGCCTTTTCCTGTTGCTTTTTGCTGCTGGTTAGCAAGTCTAAATGCTGAGCATTTGTTCTGGCTGAAGCTGTGCTTGGTACATTGGCCCAGTTTCAAAGGTTTTTCTTATTGTATGTGGTGCAATTGGTTCTCTGGAATGTGTGCGTTAGAAGTTCAGTGACTGGGAGGGACTCTTCCTTTTGGAATGGTAAATCCTGTCCTGTGTTCCAAGCTGTTCTATAGAATGTACCTCATTCAGTTTGGTGTATGTTTGGGATTTTCTGGTGCTTAAATTAAGTAACAGTATATTCACTTAGTACATTTGATCTCTTATGGGCTGTAGAAGTTAGTTGTTTCTTAAAACCAAATTTGCTCCTGAATAATTTGAGAGAAGAGGTGCCTTTTAAAATCACCTTGGGGACGTTTCAGCAGTTTCTTCTTGAGGCAAGATGAATTTGGGAATAATTTGTTTTTCTTGTTTTCTGTGTGGGACTTGAAAATTTGATGTTTTAATCAGTTTAGAGAATGTTCTTCATAACTGCCTGTTTTTTTTTAAATGTTATTATTAAATGGTTAACTTCAAAATTTATTTAAAAAAACTATTGAGTCTCTGGATCTGTATGTAGAGTTAGATGTGCAAAATCTCACTCAACCAATATTCATATGACCTGATGGGTTAGTGCTGGGTAAATAGGATCAAGCGGGAAGGGGTGACTGACCTGCAGCCACATGCATTCTTCCTTGGGATGGGTGCAGGGAGTCAGATGATGACGGAACAGATGAGTGAGTAGGCAGGATCATTTTAGATGGGGATTGAAAGGTGAAGTGCTGGAGAGCACCTCTGGTGGCGGGGACTGGCTGAGGAGCCGATAGTTATAACCTGAGATATTAGTGGAGAGAGAGCGAGTCTTCCTCAGCTTTAGGCACAGAGCATGCAAACGGGGATTAGCGATGCACAGCTTGACCTGCTCCAGGCATGAAAAGGCAGCCAGTCTGGCTAGTATTCCAGGGAGGATAGGGGGAGGAAGGATGCTAGATCTCGGAAGTGTGCTGGGAATGGGGCCTTGTTGGCCAGGCTTCTGGATTTTAACTTTGAATGCTATAGCAAACCTGTGGAGGGCTTTCAGCAGTGGAAGGACCGCTTAATTTGCCTTGCATTTAAAATTCTCTCTCTGGATCCTGTATTTTCTTGTGTTGTTCCCCATGATGTATTTATAGCAGCATGGAGAGATTTGTTTATTGTCCAAGTTTTCATCCTAGAGGTAGCTTTCTAAAATTATTCTGAATCTGTTGATTTAAAACTAAATGTGTATTTTCTCTAAGTGTTACCCAAACGTAGTACCTTTTCTTTTACTGTAGAGCACTTGGGGTTTTATGACTAATTAATAAGTATGGTAAACTGAAGAATAAAACATGTAACATTAACTGATTAACACGTGGTGTTAGCTGAGGCAACTCTCTTGGTCCATCTAAGAAAGGGTGTTGTCAGCCTGCCTTCTAGGTTTGATTCATTTGATGGGTAAAAGAATTTGGTAAAATCAGTTTTAGGTATCAATGAGTCACATTTTGTCGTTAGATAATAAATAGACTGGCAGAATTCAGCAGAATTCTGAATCATTGGAAATTGAGTAATGCTTGAATATAATTATTTCAGTCAAAGATATGTATTAAGCATCGCATTTATTAAGCGCTGTGCTGGGTAAGGAACCCTCGGAATAGTCTGTGCCCTTAAGGAGAAGCTCACAGTCTAATAAGGAAAATCTGTAGGCACACATATATAAAGTCTATCTAGTTTGGGTAAATATAAACGTAGACAGCCTAGGTATCCCAGAAATGGAGGCAGGGATACTGAGGAAGACTTTTGAAAGGCAACAGTTAGAGACCAGGCAGGGAGAAGATCTGTGCTTCCCAGAGCCTCCCTGCTCCTTGTGCTTGAAGGGTAGAAAGTGAGGCAGAACGCAGGAAGGGTGCTCTTACCTGGGAGGGCTGAGGCTGGCAGAAGTACTGCTTGAAATACTCACCCAGGAGGCCTGGCATGGTGGCTCACATCTGTAATCCCAGCACTTTGGGAGGCCGAGGAGGGCAGATCACGAGGTCAGGAGATCGAGACCATCCTGGCTAACATGGTGAAACCCCATCTCTACTAAAAATAAAAAAAATTAGCTGGGTGTGGTGGCGGGCGCCTGTAGTCCCAGCTACTCAGGAGGTTGAGGCAGGAGAATGATGTGAACCCGGGAGGCGGAGCTTGCAGTGAGCGGAGATCGCGCCACTGCACTCCAGCCTCGGCGACAGAGCAAGACTCCGTCCCAAGGAAAAAAAAAAAATACTCAGGAGCTTTAGTCCTGTAGGCACCAGGGCTCCCAGAAAGGTTTTAGGTAGGTGAATAACAAGATCAGGTTTATGATTTTTAGAAAAATCAGTGACGCAGCTTTGTGGAGATGGACAACCCAGAAAGAGGAGCCTCTCGGGGCCACATTCCAAATGAGAAGTGAAGTCCATTTTATTTGAATGTTGGATGCTTCATAGATTTAATACCCAAAACATTTTTTAAAAGTTGGGGAATGAATTAAAGGAAGAAAGCATTAAGAAAAAGACTTTAAGCTTGCTTGTCTACATTCTTAGTTTGTAACTGTAGGATTTTTAATTTTTGTGGCTGTCATGAGAGACTTTCACCAGCCTCATTATTTTGCAGGTATGAGATGTGGTCCTTCAGGGTCAGTTGATAGTGTGACATGAGTGGCCTGGTAATGAGGCCAGCACTCTGGTTGATCCTAGTACAGACCAGAAGAGCAGGAGAAGAGCCAACACGTATCCACATTTCTGATTGGTGCCAAATGAGCAGTGCCAATGAGGCACTGTGCAGCTGTGCTCACCAGGGGCCTTTACAACTAAAGGGGAGACATAAATAACTAGTCAGGTGACAGACTTTATCTCAGGTTAAAAAAATTGGTTTATCTCTGTTGCCATTGTGGAGGGTAATTTCTGTATATCCCCTTGCTTGACTGCTGGTAAGCACTTGACATCAGTCTCAGGGACTGAATTTTCTGAAATTTGTCAGTAACATCAATACGCTGACATTGCATATAACATAAAGACATGTTTTATTAACCCCTAGCTGTAGATTGCCAGACTTTTGAGGTGAGAAGTGATTTTTTTTCACTGGTGTGGTTTGTGTAATTGTTCTATATACGTGCTGGCCTTGCTCACTCAGTACTAGTTTTTTATTTTTAAAATATGTTTGGAAGATGAGAGGCTTGGTGTGCTGCACATGGGAATACATTAGCTCATCTGTCTCCTCTCCCTCTGTCATGCTACTTTTCTGTTGGAGCTATGTATGTCCAACCACACAGTTTTCCTTACTCCCTTAAAAACCAATTGATGAGGAAGACAAGTTCTTGTGTTTTTCTATCTGTAAGGTAAAAAATACCTCTCAAAATAGACTTATGAGATCTATTAAGAGAAACAAAATGGGTTATATTAACTACCCCAGTTAAGAAACATCAGCTACTGGTGTTTGAATGTTAGAACATATTCTCTAATATGGCAGCAAGTATCTGCTTTTTTTCTCTCTCTCCCCTCCCCCATCCCCCCTTTTTTTGAGACGGCTTCTTGCTCCATCGCTGAGGCTGGAGTGCAGGGTGTGACCTGGGCTCGCTGTAACCTCTGCCTCTCAGGCTCAAGTGATCCTCCCATCTCAGCTTCCCAAGTAGTTGGGACTACAGGAGTGTGCCACCATGCCCAGCTAATTTGAGATTCTGCTTTACGCAGATGGATCTAAAATTACTTGCTAACAGTCTAAGACTGAGTTCAGAACCCAAAATCAGTTTTCAGAGCTTCTAATGAGAGTTACTGCAAAAATGATTAACACTCCAGTATTTCTTTATCCCCAGTCTGATGTTGCTATAGTATATGAGGCTCTTTTAGTTTTTAATCAGAACTTTTATACAAATAATAGATGCTTTCTCATTGTGAAAAGAATTTAAAAACAACGTTAACAAAATGCTCCCCAAACCACATCACCACTTAACATTCTGCACCCTAATCCCATGCTGCTTGGTGGTAGGTTGTTTTTGTTTTGAGATGGAGTCTTGCTCTGTCACCCAGGCTGGAGTGCAGTGGCGCGTTCTCAGCTCACTGCAACCTCCACCTCCTGGGTTCAAGCAGTTCTCCTGAGTCAGCCTTCTGAGTAGCTGGGATTACAGGCACACACCACCACACCCGGCCAATGTTTTGTATTTTTAGTGGAGATGGGGTTTCACCATGTTCGCCAGGCTAGTCTTGAACTCCTGACCTCAAGTGATCTGCCCGCCTCGGCCTCCCAAAGTGCTGAGATTACAGGCATGAACCACTGCTCTCGGCCCTGCTTGGTAGGTTTTTGTGAAATGTATCCTTTCAGACCTTTGCTACATATTAATAGGCATACAGAAGTACCTGGCAAGTTCATTTTGAAAGGTAAATTAACATGTCTCTCCTTAGAATTGATGTGACTTTTTAGTCACGTTTGCCCAAGTGTAGAGTCGTTCTCAATTTAAAACTTGCAGGATGCATTTAAGATATGCAAAATATCTTACTGGCTCTGAGTCCTGGAGAGTGTTTATGATGGGTACCAAGAATGTAAATTTCACTGTCATGTATCACCCTCCTAGAGAATGGCAAGAAGTTATGTGGGCAGTGTTTTCAAGGTTGATTTAATTTTGCAAAATGGGGTCACATAAAACTTTAAAAATAAATACTATAATAAATTATAATAAGACTGAGCCTTCTGTGGCAAACAGAAGTGAGTAGCAGAGAGTGCTAATGCATTGAGATAATCCCCTGGGGGCTCTTCCAGGAAAACAACTGACATCGTGCTGTTTTGTCATTGTAGTTGGCTGATATTTTTAATATGAAATCAGATTGTAAGACTTTGTTTTAGGATTAAGTCTCTGATTACTTTCTTTATAAATTTTAAGAATGTTATTCATGTTAGTTATTGAGAGTGAAAACCCTGGGACGATTTAGCTGAGTGATTTTTATTATGAGAAAGTCTCTTACAAATTCTTTCACATGGATGGAGAGACGAAAAAAATCTCCCTTCTTTGAAGCAACATTTTATCCTGCCTTCAGACATGGAGTCACTTTGATTTCTCATGTTTAAATTGTATTTGGAAGTCAAACTAGTATTGTGCTTGGAGGTATGTTGATGCTTTTTCATAAAGCCAATGTGTGAAAAATGTTTCCCGCATGTTAGATGGTAGGAATAGGGGAATGTGGAAACAAAAGGCCAAAAGATGGACTTAGAAAGTTGAGATGTGGCTTTTAAAATGAAAAAGTCACTTACATGGTGTGGAAGAACCCTAGCATCCTGTCTTTTTGCCTCCCTGTTTGTGACAGATCTCTATCTCACCATCCTCTAAGCTGGGATTGCCGAACTTTTGTGTTTATTTGTTGCTCTATCCTTTGTACATTCAAATCAGAATGGCATAGTGCTTCTAAACAGTAATAAGACTTAATCCTTTCCAGAGTTAATGTACACTGTTGATTTTAGGATTTTCCCTTTCCTTCCTGCCAGATGTCTCCATCCTTATGAAGATAAATATATAGGAGAAATCACACTCTGTCATCCAAGAGAGAGTTAAAAATTTAAACTCGAATTCTAGAGAGTTGGTGACATGTATCAGAGGAAGGCCTATGTGAAGTGACCAGTCAAGGGTGATAAATGGGTAGTCAGCTGTGCACAGCCAGCCCTGTGGGCCGTGAGTTGCCATGGAAGCACCGAATGGCATTCAGCAATCCCGCATGACTAACCTAGTTTAGCAGCAGGGCCCATGGGCTCCAGCCTGGGAGAAGGTGCTTACAGCCAGATGATACCAGAGCCAACACACTGCCCCACGTCTCATGCCCAACTTGGGCCTTTCTGTTACTATCTTTTCCTCATCCACATATGCTATTTCCTTTTTTAGTGTGAAGGAAAGAGAAAAAGGAATCACTCTCACTAATCCTTACAGAGTTGTGATTTCTTACATTTTACCACAATATTTTAAACACATCCATCCCTACCCCCAAGAAGCATTTGAAAAGTCAGTAAATGTGCCCTGACAGGCCCCAGCATGGGGTTGACTAAATGACTGTATTGAGGGGCTGAACAGGCAGCTCTGAATTCCTCAGGATTTTCACCACCTTTCTGAAAGTGAGAGCATTCTGGCACGTTTTAGCTTTCCAAAGCTTCATTCAAGCTCTTGTGCTGAGTTAGTGGATTCGGTCAGTGAAACGTCTGTGGCACAGTCCCCCTTTCATGGCTTGAGTGTTTATGTTCTGCAGGTGAGTTTTCACATGTGACTGATCTCACCAGGCACTGGACACTGAAGCCTGTGGTTCTCCCCATTTCTAGTTCACTTAACTAAAATACAAATGTGGAGGAGGTGGCTTGATGAATTCTGTAGAGATCTTTTGATACATCAGGTTGAACCTCAAAGATGGTGGACAGTAGTATATGATCTGAAGGCAAGAACTTGGCTACTGAAAGGAGAATTATTTCCCTATTTAAATAGATTTTTGCAGACTTCCAGTAGAACTCATGGTGTCTGTGGAGTGGTCAGACTTTGCATCCTCCTTCCCAGGGGCACATCAGAGGCTCTGAAACAAGAATTGTAACACAGTTTTTATATTTATTTATTTATTTATTTTTGAGATGGAGTCTCGCTCTGTAGCCCAGGTTGAAGTGCAGTGGCGCGATCTCGGCTCACTGCAGCCGAGATCTAGCGATTCTCCTGCCTCAGCCTCCCAAGTAGCTGGGATTACAAGCACGTGCCACTACGCCCGGTTAATTTTTGTATTTTTAGTAGAGACAGGGTTTCGCCATGTGGGCCAGGCTGGTCTCAAACCCCTGACGACCTCAGGTGATCCTCCCACCTCGGCCTCCCAAAGTGCTGGGATTACAGATGTGAGCCACTGTGACCGGCCCACAGTTTTTATAACTGAAAGAGCAGCTTCATGCCATTGGCCATCCTTCTCTCAAAGGGGTCCTCTGTTAGGTCGTTCCTCAAGGACAGGCCTGTGTGGATCAGTTTAACCAAACATCAATTTTGTGGCTCTGAGATGACCCTGCTGGCGGAGATGATACTAAATTGTTGATGTGTACCTTTTTGAGACTAAAGAAATATGAGTGGTTATAAGTTAGCACACTTTAGCACACCTTCTTTGTCTTCACTGCTTTATTTAACGCAGCCTGACAGCTTTGCTAGCAGAACTGTGGCTGAGAGTATAAGCTTTCTTGCCAGGCATTGGTGAATGTTCAGGTCTACCATTTGTGAGCAAGTCAATCCCCTCACCCTTTTTTTTTTTTTTTAATTGAGACAGACTTTGACACTTGTTGCCCAGGCTGGAGTACAGTGGCGCAATCTCGGCTCACAGCAACAACCTCTGCCTTCCAGGTTCAAACAGTTCTCCTGCCTCAGCCTCCGTAGTAGCTGGGATTACAGGCGCCTGCCACCACACCCAGCTAATTTTTTGTATTTTTAGTAGAGACATAGGGTTTCACTATGTTGGCCAGGCTGGTCTCAAACTCCCAACCTCAGGCGATCCACCCTCCTCAGCCCCCCAAAGTGCTGGGATTACAGGCGTGAGCCACCATGCCCTGCTTTTTTTTTTTTTTTTTTTTTTGAGATGGAGTCTTGCTTTGTTACCTAGGCTGGAGTGCAGTGGCATGATCTCGGCTCAGTGCAACCTCTACCTCCCGGGTTCAAGTGATTCTCCTGCCTCAGCCTCCTGAGTAGCTGGGATTACAGGTGTGCGCCACCACGCCCAGCTAATATTTTGTATTTTTAGTAGCCACAGGGTTTCACCACGTTGGCCAAGCTGGTCTCGAACTCCTGACCTCAAGTGATCCGCCCACCTTGGCCTCCCAAATTGCTGAGATTACAGGCGTGAGCCACCCCACCTGGCCGCAAGTCAATCTCTGAGCTAGCTTTCGTTCAGTTGGAAAATGGGGTTAATAATCCCACTCTCACAGGGTTGTTGTGAAAATTAAATAGAAAACTGATGTGATAGTGCCAAAATCAGTGTTGACTAACATGTTAAGTGATGTCATTCCTTGGCCAGGCTGCTGCTGCTGTTATCATTGCTTTTGTATTTTGGTAAGCCCCAAAAAGGATGTGCTGTCTTTTACCCCTGGAGATCCCTTGGAAACTTGTTCAACATACAAGCCTTGGGGCCCATGTCAGGCCTACTGCCTTAGAAACTCTGTAGGTCTCTGTGATCTGTGTTTTGACAAACCCTCCAGCTAACTGACTCAGGTTTGAGAACCTCTTAGCTAATGCAAAGTACCATCTAAAATCAGCTAAGGAGAACTTGTAACTCACTATATTCTATTCGGAACAGTGGGAAAGAATGGCCAGGCTGATGTTGGGATACATTTTTCCTTAACACAGGACTGGAAAAAAAAAAAGACACCTTTATTAAAGTGACAGTTAACTTATAGTTATTGAAAGGTGATTATTGACAGCTGGGCGTGGTGGCTCACGCCTATAATCTCAACACTTTAGGAGACTGAGGTGGGTGGATCACTTGAGGTCAGGAGTTTGAGACCCGTGTGGCCAACTTGGTGAAACCCTGTCTCTACTAAAAATACAAAAATTAGCCAGGCGTGGTGTCGGGTGCATCTAATGCTATCTACTCGGGAGGCTGAGACAGGAGAATCACTTGAACCCAGGAGGCAGAGGTTGCAGTGAGCTGAGATCACTGCACTCCAGCCTGGGCGACAGAGCGAGACTCCATCTGGAAAAAAAAAAAAAAAAAAGTTGCTACAGAGTTTGTGAATCATGTAGGGTATTTGCCGCCTCCTAAAATTCCCTCATTAAAAAATTTTCCCATCTGCCCCTTCCTTGCTTACACCTTGGTTTAAACAGTGATGTGTATAGGCTCAACAAAGGTTTACTCATGGTATGAATAGTGGGTTTATTTTTAAAATTTCATATTCCTTTATCTCAAAATGGAACCAAGAAAAAGAAAATATTCACAAAAGATTTGCCTGGGAGCTTTTAACAGATCATTCCCTAAGCCATTGCAAATTTGCAGCAAGAAACCAGAAAGCTATTTAATGTGACTGGCAAAACAATTTAGTTGCAAGGAGAAAGGAGGCAACCCAGAGCAGGGGCTCAAAGCCTACCTCTACTCTGTGAACTTCCTGCCTCTTCGGTCTTCCTCTGCCCTGCCCAGGAGCTTTTGTGAGTTCCACCCAAGAGGGAGTTGTTGGACAGTGTGGGGAGAGCAAGTGTCTTTCACAAAGCCTGGACCTCATAAAACTCATCCTACCAGTGATATCCATGATGTCTTTTTTCACCTCACTACTTATAGGGCTTTTAGTTGAAGGGTGATGGTGAATCATAAAAAGAAAATTTGTCTCGAAATAGGTGTAGAATTACATGTCTGCCGATAAAATCTTAACGTGGGTTTAAAAAAATTTTTTTGACACTAATGAAGTAAAACCTTAATTAACTAGAATCCTTAATTTAATAGGATTTCCTCCCTGTGGGAGAATTCTTGATTTTAGAATCACATAGTAATAAACCAGTGTTAGGAATTCTGTGAAAGAATGGCTTAATTGTGTTCTTCTGGTTATTTCTGTGGCAATTTTCAGTATTTTGGAATGAAAATCTGGAAGTATGGGAGAAACCCAACTGATGCTGAAATAAGGCTAATACAAGGCTGAGTTGATTGATTTAAAAATATTTTAGTAATGTAACTTCGTTAAAGGAAAATTGAGTGTGTGGAATTGATGAGAAAATTGAGGACTCTGAGCAGCCTGTTAGTTGAGGTGTAACTGTTCACACCCTCCCTTTTGGATCCTGGACTGAGAATTGCCATTTGGAGTTCCCTTCTCTGAGACAAAGGTAGCATTTATTTAGAAGGGGCGGAGCTCTGCCCTGTGAAGCGGAGCCTAAGGCTGTGAACACTGACTGGCTATAGGGGCTCTGCTGTTTTAAGTGGCATATCAGAGAGGGGAGAACTCCCTTGGTGGTGAGAATAGCCAAGCAGACAAGCACATGCCCATGGTAAGCTTTCCCCACCCGCTCACCCATAGGCCTGTCTTGACTGCTGCAAGGTGCATGCACTGGATAGTTTGGGAGAATAGAAGCTTAGATGCTCAGAGGATGGTTGCCTGCTTAGCTCCTCCCTGCAAAAACTGGCTCAAAGTGGCTATAAAACAAGTTTGAAGGAAAAAGTGATTTCCTAATCAGCCTGCTTACTTGGCTTCTATGGTTATATGCTAATGGCATATGATCTTTTGAACCAACAAGAGGAATTACCAAAATGATAAAATAATTGAAGGAATTGAGTGTCATCAAGTCCAGTGTGCTACTGCCAACTGGAAGTAAGTTTAACTGAAACAGGTGAGACTCAGACTTCATTACAGAAGATTACACGACCAGTTTCTGGTTCAGCAGCTTCTTCTTTTCAGTATTTTGACTGGCATAAATTATTAACTTTGTGGTTTTAAGAGTTCTTTTAAAATCTGATATTGCAATATCCATCATCTAGGAAAAGTTTTTGATACACACAGGTCTAAGAAGATAATTTTTTCTTTCTTTCTTTCTTTTTTTTTTTGAGACGGAGTCTCGCGCTGTTGCCCCGGCTGGAGTACAGTGGTGCGATCTCAGCTCACTGCAGCCTCCGCCTCCTGGGTTCAAGCAGTTCTCCTGCCTCAGCCCCCAGAGTAGCTGGCACTACAGGCGCCTGCGACCACAGCCAGCTAATTTTTGTATTTTTAGTAGAGATAGGGTTCACCATGTTGGCCAGGATGGTCTCGATCTCTTGACCTCGTGATCCACCTGCCTTGGCCTCCCAAAGTGCTGGGATTACAGGTGTGAGCCACTGCGCCTGGCCTAAGGAGATAATTATTTACCACATTGTAGTGAATTCAGTCAGGCAGCTAATTTCTCTCCATACATCCTACTCCCATAGATTAAAAGGCTATAGAAATACTAGATTACTTTTTAGATGATTTTTTAAAATAATTTTTGCATGTGTCTTCCAGAGTTAAATCTTTTTTAAATAGTTGTAAGTTTGTAAAAATACGTAAGTGTAGTGGCTGTTTTTTAATCTAAAAGTATTTAATGATTAGCTTCTATGCAGAGTACCATGCTTTAGCACCAAGAGAGGTGCTAAATTTGCGAGGTTCGTTTCTGATGGAGTTCACATGCTAGGGGAGAAGGGAGGAGGAGAGAGAACTAATTGATGTGTTAGGTAAGCACATACTTGGTGGATTTGAGGAAGCCTTTAGAGTGAGTGACATTTGAATCATTCCAGAGATTTGCCAGAAGCTGAAAATTAAGGATGGGGGTGTGTGGTGGAGAGAGAAGCAGTGGAAATTTGTGGCTGGAATGAAAGCATCAAAGTCTAGGATATCACTGAGGAATGGGGAGTAGTCAGGTGTGACTGGAATGTAGAGGTAGTTTGTAAGAGAGTCATACTTCCTAGGGAAGCTGGCTCTGGAAGAATTGGTTATCTTTCAGTAAAGAGAGCCTGGTGGAAATTAGAGCAAGAGGCTGCCTTACAGGGTATGCTCAGGGGATGGACGTGACTGACTGACTGTCAAGTAGAATGCATGTGACAGGCCTGCAAGGGGACAGTAGATAATTTCTAGAGAGTAGATCTGCGTCAGATTATGGGGGAATTTTAATGCCAAAGCAAGAATTTAGAGTTTATTCTGCAGTAGTAAAGAGCCATCAAATGCTTGTTATTTTAAAATATGGATTGTGACATGAGAACCAGGGCCTTAAATCAGGTTTCTTTTCATGAGAAGGCTGAATTAAAGGGATAAGATGTGGGGGAGGCAGGGAGACCAGTAGGCTTTTGTCAAAGGAAATAAGAGAAGTCAGAAGAGGGCAAAGAGGCCAGGAAAGGGGGTGGGGAAGGGCGTCTGACATCAGGGCTAGAATTTCCGAAGGTACTGACCGACAGCCTTAACTAGACAATCAAATATTTTCCTGTTTGTTCAAACGGCATTGGGAGAAAACATTCAGTAGATTCCCTAGGAGCAAGTCTGTGAAGACAGAAGTCATTTTATAGTTCTTATTTCACTTTTTAATCATACATTGCGTGTGAGGGCTGGGAAGTGACCCTTGGTGCTGACAATGAGGCAGGTCCACTTTTGGTTTATGTGTTGGTTAAAACTGCACTACTTTTGGTCTCCATCTCTGATTTGTTTCTCGGTGAATGCCGTTTAACCCCTTTAGTGCCAGGGCTGATGATTTAGGATACATTTTTATGTGTTTTAAGTAGGGCAGTCAGATTATAAAGCGTTCTCCGTCGGTAGAGCTGACATCTATAATTGGATTTTCTCATCCTTGACGTTTGAAATGAGAAATAAAAATCATTTTTTGTGGGGTTTACATGCCAAGACACTCCCAGTAGAGTAGGCTGAGAAAGTAAATGCTGTTTTGGGTGCCTGGTAATCTTTTAATTATGAAATAAGCCTTTTGATTTTAATCTTTCAAAATGTACGCTACTGATCCAGGAAAACGGCCTTTCTAAAGTCCACATCCTGCTGACTCCTGCAGATGAAAAGCTTCCACCTCTACCCCATATTTTGCAAGCTGAAAATAAAAATATCATTAATCTTGTCTCAGTTCCACTGCTGCCTATAAAAGGCTGTTCAGTTTGGAACCAGTCCTGAGCCATGATGGAGACCATGGCCCAGAGTGAATGCTTGGGTTTTGGGAGCCAGGACCCCAGGCTGGAGGGTCACAGCCAAGTGACTGAGGCCTCACCCTAAGGCTGGGTTAAGGAACTTAGGCTTTCTTTAAATCACAGCCGTCATCACTGCTTCTTCCCAGACCTGTCCTCACCTCCCTTCTCACATGTAAGTATGCCTGACAAAACTTGGAGACTGATAAATTTTATTGTTTTCATTCTTTTGTGGCATCTGAAACAGTTTGTACAATGACGACAGAAACCTGCTTCGAATTAGAGAGAAGGAAAGACGCAACCAGGAAGCCCACCAAGAGAAAGAGGCATTTCCTGAAAAGATTCCCCTTTTTGGAGAGCCCTACAAGGTATTTACTGAACACTAGACATTGAAGTCCTGATTTATCACAATGTTGAACCCTATGATGAAACAATTCAGTATAATTGAGTTCGAACAAGGGTCACAGCTGTGAAAATAAGATAACTTATTCTAACTTATTCTAGAGATTTTTGAAAACAAAGTATGAAAATTCTCTGAAGGTTGTTAGAATTACCAAAGTTTGTGGTTTTCTTTTGTAATGCTAGTCTTCTACAGTTAGTAATATGTATCCATGGTAGTCTTCTCAACAGGGGAATTGAGTTAAAATGGCACATTAAATTCTACATGTCGTACATTAAGTTCGGAGTTTTTTCCTTAATAGTATTATATAACGTGGTTTGTTAAATGGTAGTTTTCCTTAGTTTTTTTTCATTCTCAAATTCTCCTTTTTTTTCAGACAGCAAAAGGTGATGAGCTGTCTAGTCGAATACAGAACATGTTGGGAAACTACGAAGAAGTGAAGGAGTTCCTTAGTACTAAGTCTCACACTCATCGCCTGGATGCTTCTGAAAATAGGTTGGGAAAGCCGAAATATCCTTTAATTCCTGACAAAGGGAGCAGCATTCCATCCAGCTCCTTCCACACTAGTGTCCACCACCAGTCCATTCACACTCCTGCGTCTGGACCACTTTCTGTTGGCAACATTAGCCACAATCCAAAGATGGCGCAGCCAAGAACTGAACCAATGCCAAGTCTCCATGCCAAAAGCTGCGGCCCACCGGACAGCCAGCACCTGACCCAGGATCGCCTTGGTCAGGAGGGGTTCGGCTCTAGTCATCACAAGAAAGGTGACCGAAGAGCTGACGGAGACCACTGTGCTTCGGTGACAGATTCGGCTCCAGAGAGGGAGCTTTCTCCCTTAATCTCTTTGCCTTCCCCAGTTCCCCCTTTGTCACCTATACATTCCAACCAGCAAACTCTTCCCCGGACGCAAGGAAGCAGCAAGGTTCATGGCAGCAGCAATAACAGTAAAGGCTATTGCCCAGCCAAATCTCCCAAGGACCTAGCAGTGAAAGTCCATGATAAAGAGACCCCTCAAGACAGTTTGGTGGCCCCTGCCCAGCCGCCTTCTCAGACATTTCCACCTCCCTCCCTCCCCTCAAAAAGTGTTGCAATGCAGCAGAAGCCCACGGCTTATGTCCGGCCCATGGATGGTCAAGATCAGGCCCCTAGTGAATCCCCTGAACTGAAACCACTGCCGGAGGACTATCGACAGCAGACCTTTGAAAAAACAGACTTGAAAGTGCCTGCCAAAGCCAAGCTCACCAAACTGAAGATGCCTTCTCAGTCAGTTGAGGTGTGTGGAATTTCTTATCTTGGGGAATTCCAATTCGAAGACGGATTTGAGATGAAAATGTCCGGAGGATGTGGGGCAAGGTGGGGAGGTTAGTCCATGGCTTTTGGGTAGGGGGAATTCTTTTTGGCTTTAGGATCTTGTTAATAACCCGCGAAAAACTCAGATCTGAGATGGACGACTGATTATAGATATTGAAATGCAGTTTGCAGAAAGGTTTAGAGAACCTTTTTATGGAGCCAAAATTTATATACAGTAAAACATAGAGATCATAAGAGTACAGTTTGTGTTTCAAAAAATAGATACACCTATAGGATCCAAAACCCAATCAAGAGAGAGAAGATTTCGGTTACCAGAAAGTTTCAGGAAGGTTTTCAGGTGTCTTATTTATTGTTTTGGGAGACACTGGGGTAACAATGTGAACACGAAAAAATTTTTTTTGATTAATACCTCCTCAGACCCAGTTAATTTTTCCTGGGCTCTAAACCGTAAAAAAGTAAAAACAAGATGACAGAGTCTCTTAATTTTTATTATTTTAGAAGGACTTGTTCCCTGTAAATTGTAAGGAACTTTATAACTAAAGTTCTGTTCTAATATTTTATTATTTATCACCTAAAAAAGAAGAGTGGGTATACGGTGACATTTCACTTGAGAGTGAGTCACAAATATAATACAGAATGTTATTCAATTATGGGTTTTAAAAGTAACCCAAATGCTGTACTTTTTAAAACCAAGAAAAAAAATATTTCTTTTTCTACTGCATGGATAAACAGCAGCATTGTGTTTGAATGAGGAGAATTAGAGCATACATTCTGTCACTGAAATTTTAAAGTGGTACCAATTTCTCCAAAATTAAGATTAGTAGTGTGAAGTGAAATGTTTGAAGGGAATTTTAAAACTTATCTTTTAATGTAAAGTCTATGGTTTAGTTACATCTATTGTATAAACATTCTAATTTGCATCTCCATTGCTCAAAGACATTTATGCCATCCAGATATGTTTTACATAATGCCAGAAGGTGAAATTCCTCAGGTGGGGGCGTGATTCCTACCTGGAAAGATAACCTTTATCTTCCAGGAGGACAACTTGTAACTTTCTGGTGTCAGCTTCTGGTTTAGAAGAGGGAGGTTGGGGTGCCGTCCTCACTGAGCTCTTGAGCTGAGTACTTCCAGATGTCTTCTGAATACCACTTGTTTGGGGACCAAGGAAAAATAAGAAAGAAGGAGTAAAACCAATGGCAGAAATGACCAAGATGGCAGAACTGCATCTCTGATCCTAACTTAAGAAGATTTAATGCACTGAGCCATTTATTGAACATTTTGTGCTGTGATGGAGGTAGGGGTAGGCAGCTGAATGAAGGCAAAATAAAGTGAGATCCTCCCTCCTCAAAACAGTCACTCCCCCTGCCTTCTAATTCAGGCAATAAAGAACTCAATGAGAGTTTCTTTCTTTCTTTATCAAATAGGGTTAGCTGTATGTTCCCAGTTTAAAAAAAAAAAAAAAAGGGGGGGGGGGGACAACTTAACATTCTTTCTAAAAATAACAAACCTAAAAAATTGCTTTAAAACAATTTTTAGACAAATTAGCAAATATTTGCATTGTCTACCAAATGCCCAACCATATGCTTAAGTGCAAGATTCTGTGCCAGAGAAATCGGTCCTTGCTGCAGGACAGATTAGTCTAGTATAGAGATCAGCCTACACTTATGAAACAATTAGAGAACAATTGAGTTTTCTCTCTCTGGAACGAGGTGCTTATAAACCTGTGTAATTCAGCCCTAGGTTTCCTAGTAGATGTTTCTGGGAGAGGATTCCTGTTAACTTACTGTTTTCTTGGGTGGAAATAAGTAGGCTGAGTTGAGATTCTTCAGTGTCTTAAAACCCCTTATATTTAATATGTATTTTGAACATAGGACTATGTTAATTGGCTCTTGCATGTTTTCTGAGGAACAAAATCCTCCATACATTTGGTCATTGAAGAATGGGGTTTTTTTTTTGGCACCAGTGCATCTGCTGTCAACAATGGAGTAGAAGTAAACCTTTCATCTGCAGCCTCTGTTCACAGTCAGCATTTCCTTTAATGCGGTGGTTCCCTCTGGTCTCGGCCCGAGTTCTCATGCCAGGCAGCGGCAGCTGTGGTACCAACTGCCTGGGAGCCCCGTGGCGCTGTTGGTGAGTGGGAGGATGGAACTGAGGGGGTCAGACAGATGGAGGGCTCTCGGTGACCCCTTTGAGGGCAAATTAGGAGCCAAGAGCATGGAATGAAGGAGTCGTCAATCCGGGAAGTGGGGATCTTGGTGCTCCCTGGTCAGGTTTTGGATTTGATTTTGCTCTTTTAATGAAGATCTCATGTTGCACAGACTTAGCATTAATTTTCTGTTTATACACTTAGCAAAATGGGTATTTTTGAAAGTTTTAAAAATATACTTGAATTTTATATTTCAAATTTTAATATTTCTTGTGAATCCAAGGATTATTATTCTGGTGAACCCAAGGAAAGTGTAGAGATGTAGGACCAAAAATGTGGAAATTAGCCCCAGAGCAGGTAAACTTTGAATATAGGTGAGAATATTACCAATAGCCTGGGTTATTTTTGGGTTTGGGGCAGAAGGGGAAGCTGTCTCTTGGTAGAGCTGGGAGAAGGGGGTGTGGGAGTAGCTGAGTGATTTTCCTTTATTTGCTTAATTGGTCCTAAGGCAAGTCAGAGGAAATTTTCTCTTTCCTAGTGCTCTGAGTGTGAGGGGATAGTTGGGTTTTGTGGTTTGTTTCATTTCTCCCCTACCCCTTTCCACTGCTTCTGTGAAATAGTGATTTTACAAATGAACCCAAATTGGAAAGTCACTCTTTTTATTTTTTGGTTTTTATGTTCCTTCATTCTCTAGCCACCTAAGTGTGGATTCTTTACTCCCTGTCCTTTCCTTTCACCTCATGGGAAATACTTGGTTTTATGTTCTAGTTGGTACTATAAAAACTCATAGTCTTCTCTGGGATAAGTCTTTCTCAGAATTAAAGTTTAATTCTTCCAAAGATCCTAAGGGAAAAAATTATCAAAAGGTCGGTTTCCGACTAGAGGCCTGGACCACAAAAATCTGCACTTGGTTTTTCTCCGGGAGTGTCTGTTTTAGTTTTACGTCAACTGGAAGATGTCTAGCAGTGTGAAGTGACCAATCTGAGGCCAGGCCCAGAACTCCGCGATCTCACGTGGATCCCGTCCAGCTGCAGAGTTGCCACATCAGAGGTGGACCTGCCCAATTGGAAGATTGAGATTTCTTTATATCGTTCTTTTCTGTCTAGAGATAACAAGTGAAAGAGAGAGAAGCCGTGGCATCTCTGTGAGTGCTCATGCACATGGACCCCGAGGCTGGGGGCATTGAGATGGAACGTGGAGGTGGGGAGGTGTGCCTAGACACAGGTTTCAGATAAAGGATTTATGTGCTAGATAGGCTTTTTATTGAAAAGGAGAAGTGGAATAAGCAGAGATGGGTATACCAAATCATATACTGAATTTAGAATGTTTGAATTTTAAAGCTAAAGACAGCTCTTTCATTTTGCAAATAAGGTCTTAAAGGGTAAAGTCCTTCATTTTGCAAAAAGTTGTAGTTAATATCAGAGCCAGAGCTAGAACACCCAGTTCTTTTGACTTGCTGTTTGGTGGCAGCATTGGTGGCAGTGGTGAGATGTTTGTGTTTTTGACCAGAAGAGTTGTAATTTGTCACCCAGACCGAACCTACAGCAGAGCCATGGAGGATACAGTGAGTTTCATTTCCTGTGTGTTTCTTGGCCTCACTTTTATCTTTCATCATTCCTCTTTTTCTTTCCTTTTTCTTTTTTTTTTTTTTAACGTACTCATTCAACAAACTGGTATTTTGTTTGTTTTGTTTTGTTTTTTGAGACAGAGTCTTGCTCTGTCGCCAGGCTGGAGTGCAATGGCGCAATCTTGGCTCACTGCAACCTCCACCTCCCGGGTTCAAGCGATCCTCCTGCCTCAGCCTTCCATGTAGTTGGAACTACAGGCATGTGCCACCATGCCCGGCTAATTTTTTGTGTATATATTTTTTTATTCGAGACGAGGTTTCACCATGTTGGCCAGGATGGTCTCAATCTCTTGACTTCATGATCCGCCCACCTCAGCCTCCCAAAGTGCTGGGATTACAGGTGTGAGCCACTGTGCCCAGCCCAACAAACTGATATTAACCCTCCACTGTGTTCCATGCACTGTAGTAGGTTCTTGATGATACAGCTGAGATCAAGGTAGACAGATCCCTGGTCTCATAGACCATCTATTCTAATGGGGGGCATTGATAATATAGTTATAATGAAATCATAGGCGTTGATAAGAGTGCCGCAAGAAGTAAAGAGGGTGATGAGGATGAGATGAATCAGAGGAGGCTGACTTAAAAATGGTGGTCAGCACAGGACCCTCTGAGGAGGCACCTTTCACAGAGACACCTCACATGGAGGATGAACATGCGTCAGTCATGCAGAGCTCAGAGACGTATTTCATTTCAGGCAGAGGAAACAAGTGTAAAGGCCTGAATTTAGGAAAAGGCATGGCCTTGTTAATCCCAGCACATTGGGAGGCCGAGGTGGGAGGATCACTCCTGGGGAGCCCAGGAGTTCAAGACCAGCCTGGGCAACATAGTGAGATGTTTTATCAAAAAATTAAAAAGTTTTCCCAGCTATTGGGAAAAAATTAAAAGTAGTTCCAGCTACTCAGGAGGCTGAGATAGGAGGATCACTTGAGCCTGAGAGGCTGAGGTTGTAGGGAGTTGAGATACTGCCACTGAACTCCAGCCTGAGCGACAGTGAGACCCTGTCTCAACCGCTCCCTCCTCCCCCCACACCACCACCCAAAATAAACAGAAATGAGGGGAGTATGGCTAGAACACTGAGAGTGAGGGGAGGATGTGAGATGGAACTGGCGACATAGGCAGGAGTAAGACCATGGAGGCTTTGTTGGCCGTGAAAGGCATTTGGGTATTATTTGTGATTGAAACCATTGGATAATTTTGAGCAGGGGAGGGACATATCTACTTTTTTTTTTTCTTTTTAAAAAACTGTAACTCTGGCTTCTGGGTGGGAAATGGATGAGAGGGGCAAAGGTGGAAGCAGGGAGACCAGTTGGGAGATAGGAAATGATAGTGGCTTGGGGTAGTAGCCATGTATGTGGATAGTAGCCATGTACGTGGTATGAAGTGGACAAGTTCTGGATCTGTTTGGCAGGGAACTGATAGGGCTCTGTGATTGACAGGAGATAGGAGTGGCCTGAGGTGAGGGGAGGCGAGGCATCAAACAAGGCTGGTAGACTTTTTATTTGAAAGGCAAGGATGGTGGGATGATACTAGCTACCGAGAGGGAAATGACCTGGAAAACTAAGAACTCTAGTTGGGTCATGTATTAAGATCATGTGTTCGGTTTGAGATGCTGTAATGTATCCAGGTAGAGATGACAAGTGGCAGTCATAAACAGGAGTCTAACTCTGGGAAAATGTCAGAACTGAAAATAATTTGGGATTTGTGTTTATTTAGTAGGTATTTAAAACCTTGGGACCGAGCATGTGTACCTAAGAATCCTTATATGGTCTTAATTCCTCCTCCAGATCAGTCTGGCTTTGAGTCCTGATTGTGACTGATTTCTGCAAAGCAATTGCTCTTTTCCTTGTGGCCTCTTGTCACATCATGTTAGGAACGTTTTGTTGCCAGATGCTTGCATTTAATTTCCAAGACCCAAGTGTACATTCATTGTTGGACCACTTTGATTCATTGCAGCTCTTAAATTGAGCCTCCTATTTTCAATAAACTACCAGCCTAACAACTGCATGAATTAACCCACAGTGGAAAACTGTGTGATAGTGATTCACTTTGCATTCACATATACAAACATTCTTTCCTACTTCCATATTTAATTTAAACCTCAAGAAGAGGGACTTCCCTATTATGAGATGATCTAAACCTTCAGGCGGTTTACTTCTGGATATGCCGATGGTGCACATCCTGCTCCTGCACCACTCAAAACACATTTAAGCAGCTTACTCTCACAAACACATCATGTATTCAGCAATTTTAACCAAAATATCTTGAACCCCTGTTGTGTGCCAGGCCTGGTGCTGGGGATGAGAGGTTAAAATGGTGGGCAAAACCAGATGGTTCCAGTCCTCTTGGATCTTAACTGTCCTATTAGAAACTGACATTAGTCAAGTAATCACTCAGATCCATGTATAAGAAGCTTTGACAAGTGCTATAAGGGAAACTACAAGCTATTCTAAGAGCTATAAGAGGGGATTGTGACTTAGAACTAAGGAGCTGAGGAAGGCTTCTCTGAGGAAGTACTATTTGAATGAGAGCTGAAGGTGAGTAGGAGTGGCCCAAGTGAGGGGTGTTGGGGCTTAAGCAGTGTCAGTATTCCAGGAAGAAGGAATAGCATGTGCCACTGGCTTATGCCACACCATGTGCAGAGACCATTAGAGAATTCTTCCCAGGATATAAGCCCAGTACCATAGATCAAAGGGAATTTTTCATTTATTCTGAAACTTGGCAGCACATCAGAATCACCTGGGAAGCCTGATAAAAATACAAATTGTTAAAAATAAAAATTCCCAGGCCCTCCCCTAGGGGGGCTGAGTTTGTTCTGTAGCCTGGAAATGACAACTGTTCCGGAAAAGCTTATGGGCCACAGGGAGCTACAGGGGCCCCTCCCAGTGGCTCAAGAAGCCCCCCGACATGTGGGTCTCGGGCACAAGGATCACACTGAACTGATGGATGGGGCTTTCATTCCTGAGTAGGACGTCAGAGTAGCCTTGGGAGAAGCACAGGAGTGGGATCCCCAAGACTCTCCTCCTCTTTTCCTCCGTAGCTCATGTTTTTCATTGTTCTGCCCCCAACATAAGGTAGAAGATTATGACACAATCTTATCTAGCTTTTCAGGTTCCGTTTTCTAAAAATGTTTTATTATGGTAACTCTAGATTCCGTAAGCTCGACCTCAGTGAGCCTGGGCAGACCTACATGACCTAAATGTGTTAGGAAATTGATAGCAGAGTAAAGTTATCTGTGTGCAGAATTCCCTGCTGCCATGGGTGGTGCCTGGAGCAGACGACTTCCAAACCGCTTGTAAGAAAGCATGAAGAATAAGTCACCTGCACTTCAGAGGCCAAATTTTAAACCTGAAAAGATCTAAATATAGAAGTTTTAAAATAGTGACAGGCAGGTTTTTTAGAGCAGAAGCTGTAAACCAGCAGCCTGAGGGCTAGGTTGGGCCTGCAGACAAATTATTTTGTTTGGCCTGTAGGGCTTGTTTTCTTTCTTTCTCCCTACCGCCCCCCACACTTTTAGCCAGTATTTACAAACTGGAGAATTTAGGAAAAAAATCATTATTGGCTGAGTAGAGGCAATTTCTGGAACCTGGCAATCTTTAGAGTTTCTCTCTCTCACCCGGGCTGGAATGCAGTAGCACGATCACAGCTCACTTCAGCCTTGAACTCCTGGGTCCAAGCAGTGCCCACTTTTCCATCCTGAGTAGCTAGGACTGCAGGCACATGGCAGCATGCTTGGCTGATTTATTTTTATTTTTTGTAGAGACAAGGTCTTGGGGTGTTGCCCAGGCTGAACCTGGCAATCTTATGAAGAAACACTTTAAACTCTGAAGGAAACTTTTTAAGTAATATAGACACAATATTTTTGAAAAGCTCTTAAATTGCTAAAAATTAATGCAAAGAATAGAATTGCTTATAGTAGCCCAAGAGGAAAGCATAAAATTGAAACTGGAAGAACTTTTTGGGTGGTATTAATTGGAGTTGTTTTTACTTTGTGCATTTCACTTTCTATTCCTTCTCGGAAATGCCAGAAGTACATTTGGTACCAGGATGAGAAATTCCTGTTCCTCCTTGTTTTCACACTTGAGATGTTTGTGGATGGTTATTGGATCCCCCTGAGTCTCTCCAGTTGTGCCTTTGCCAAGATATAGACATTCAACTCTTTTGAATCTTCCCAGACTGCATGTGCTCTCCCAGGCTCTCACATAGCCACCCGGGTCATTTTAGCTCTTCTCTAGATTAACTGTGTTTTATTTTGAGCCAACTGATAATCTTCAGGGACAGAAACCCAGATATTCCAAGGGGAATCTTGTTGATGACTGAGTTAGTGGTTTGATTTTGGCTGTTTTGGTGGGGGTGACCAACACTCATGAGATATTTAAACAGTTCCTCCTAAGAGAGGATCCTGGTTCATGTTAACATAATAATTTATTTTTTGGTCTTGTATTTCTTCTCTCCAGTTGCCAACAGCAATTTGACATTATTTTCCAAGGTTAACTTTGCATGTTCACATTTCCCAAGAACTCTATAAGCAGCTATTTTTACATTGATTTTGTTCCTTTCTTTAATTGTTGAAATAACTCTATTGATGGTTTTTCCCACAGAGGTCTAGGGTCCACACAAACTATTAGTTTTCTCTTGAACTTCATTTCATTCCCTATTTAAATTTGGCCTACTTTCTCTCTGCATTTTTTTTTTCCTAACCCCGTGGTAATTTGTCAAGCCCATTCTAATCTTCTTAATCCCTTTGGCTGAAGGGTTTTGAGGTTTAATGTTTTAATCTAGAGGCCTCAGTATTTAAGTAATTAGAGGTCCTATTTCTAGCTCTGTCCTTTAGATAAATCACCTTAGGTTTTTTATTCCAATTTACAAATAATAGAACTCTGAAAACTCATATTGGACAGGAATGTGGAGCTTTGAATTGAAGTGCATGAATTAAGAAAGGAAGGCATTCTATGTTATGTATATTTCTTCGAGGTATTCTTAACAACCCCACACTATATTATAGATTCCCTTTTTCCTTAGAGCTCAATTTTTAAAATACCCCGAAGCAAGTATTTGCTGTTGCATTTTAGAAAAATTTAAAATAGAATTCTATGGTATAATTAGAATGTATGTTACTTCCAACATTTTTTCATGCTCGAGAACATGGGAACTTGTGAAAAAATTTTTTCCTATTAAATAATCTGAACATTCTTACAAAATGTTTTTTAAAAATAACTTTGTTTCTTTGTCATAGAAGGATTCATATTTTTACATTCTGTCAACAAATATTTGAACACCCATTAGATATAAAGGGAGCTAATAGGAAAGAAAGACACAGGCACAGTAAATTTATTATGACATAGCATAAAAATCCAAAGTGTAATCAGTATGAGCAAGGTAATACGGAACTCTTCATAATACATTGCTGGCATAGTCCCCTTGTTCACTTTATGATGAAAACTATTCTAAATGCTTTATAGGTGCTAACTCATTTCATATTCACGATGATCCCATGTGGTAGGGTACTGTTACCATCCTGTTTTACTGAGAGATTTAGAGGTACAGAGAGATTGGTTGTCCAAGCTTCTGGAGGCTTTTGCCAGTGGATCTGAAATCCAGACTCAAGTAGTCTGGTTCCAGAGTCCACAGTCTTAACCACAACACCTACATTATATTGCCTTTCAAAATTAGAAGCTGTACATTTTTTTTTTAAGAGTTGACTTTTGAAGCACTTTGCACTCTGGTGAAAGGTACATCCAGGCTAAAGGCTTAGGAAGAGAAAAGACATAGAAGCAAGACACGGAGGGAAATCTAGTGGGAGTGGCAGGGCCTGTGGCTCCAGGAGGTTGGGCATGGGCAGAGGAGAGCAGTGGGGAGATGGGCCTGGTGGCAAGATAGGGCCAGCTTTTGAAATTCTTTAGTTATTTATTGAGTAATTTAGATAAAAACAAGAATCATTAATAAAAGGCGGAGAATTATTTTGGCTTCATGGCAGGTGGTACAGCTTGGGCTTATAATTCTGTAAGACTTTGGGCAAGGAACCTAACCTTCCTGTGTTACCAGTTTATTCGTCTGTAAGTAAAGTGGGTCTAATATACTGAGGTAATCTTTGAATTACTTAAGACAGTGCCTTGTGCATAGTATGAGTTCCATACTCCTACTATGGAACTCTTGGTAGTGGTAGAAGTGAAATTTGAACTGGGCCTTAAGAAAAAGAATTTGGACAGAGGGTTATCAAAATGGGGAATTAGTGATGTTGGGGAGTTAGGAAGACTGATCGTATTGTTTATTGAAATGTACTTTAGAAATGAAGTTGGAATTAGATCAAGTGGACCATTAATTCCCAGTTAAGAGTTCTAAGTGAATAAAGCCCCTAAGACTTGATTTTAAAGTATTAAAAATAAGTAAACAAATGAAAAGCCTAGTGAAAGAAAGTATTTCCTTAGGGGTTATCAAGCTTTTAAGAATGGGTTTGCCATGGTGTTAAACCCCCACCGCTGTCTTCAACATCCCCCCGCCCACCATCCCCACCCCTGCCTGATGGCTTAGTTGCTCTGTGAGCTCACTCCTGAACAGCAGCATTCCCGTGGCTTGGCAATCTCTGGTGTAAACAGTTCACTTTATAAAAATGTACGCACTCTAAAATCTTGTAGTGCCCTTTCCCCTTTAATTTCCAAAGCACTTATTTGTTTCTCTCTTGATTATCACAGTAACCTTGTGAGTTAAGTATGGCAGTTGGCAGGAGTCACCATTTTACATGCCGTGGAACTGAGTCTCTAAATTTAATTTAAGCTAGTAAATGGCAGAGATGGAGACATGAAACCTGGACCCTGGCTCCTAGTTCCAGCGCTCCATCTGCCACAAAACATGGTTTCTGTGGAGTAATGATGGCTTATGTACACTTTTATTTAAAGTGTGCTGTTTTTCCACATGGCCTTGCTTTCATGTTGGCATCTGATGAGTCATGCAAATATAGGGTGGCACGGGTGATTCAAATGACAGGATGAGTAAAACTCAGTTTTGGTCTTCGTGGCCATGTGGCTTGCACTGAGACCTTTAACTTTGCTTCCTACCTTTCAGAGAAGGAAGCACCAGGTATGAATTCTCTCAGTTCTTTCTACCTACAGTGCCACCCCCGCCCCCAAATCATAGCAGCCACCATTTGTCTCTTTCTGTTTAATCTCACAGAAGGAGGTGTTCTCAACTCCCCCACTCTCAACCTTTGGTTAGCTTAAACCTTTCCCTTATTACTCAGCTCTTTCATGATAGTCTATAGTTACATTTAGGCCTTTCCCAACTGAAAGAGCAAAACAAACCCTTCTTCACTCTTGTGTCTTCTCTAATTACTACTTTCTTGTTCCCTCCACAGCAAAAGCTCTGGAGACAGAAGTAGGTAAACACTGTTCCTGCTTCCTCTCCTCCCCTCCCCTCTACTTGCAACCCATTGCAGCCTGCTCTGTGCCTTCACGCCACTGCCTCTGCCGGCAGGAGCCACTAGTGGACTGTATTGGATGAATTCGAGGAATGCTCTTTAAGGCCTTATCCTACTTGACATCTCTGTAGCATTTGACACTTGACCACCATCACCTTAAACACTCTCCTCCCCTGTTGTCTGGGTTTTCTTCTACCTTTTTGTACGTGCCTTAATCTCCTTTGGAGGCTGCTGTTCCCACTCCTCCTCCAGGGCTCTGTCCTCAACCATCTTTTCTCATTCTGCAGCCTTTCCCTGGTGACCTCATTTGCACTTAAGATTCAACTGCCGTTGCTCACGAACACCAGAGTGATTTTCTAGCCTAAAACTCTTAAAACGTATTTTGAGATCTAGGTTCTGTTATCCACCTGCCCACTGGACTTTTCTAGTAGGTGTTGCACAGGCATCTTAATTGAACCTGTCTAAAATGGATTTTTTTGTGCCCCCCTCTCCCTGTATCACTTCACACACAGAATGTTCTCCTTCCTCCTGGTCATCAGTTCTCAATTCCTTTCTGTCATATACTCCATTGTTTTGAAAGCAGCTTGATCCTATGGAGATTACTTTATAAACATTCATAGCTTCTCCTTTTCTCTGTCCCTCATTTAGTATGGATTTTTACCGTCTTTCTTGAACTGTTACAACTTCTTTCTAACCTCTCATCTTGCTGTTTTCCTGCTTCTCAGTATGCCACATTATTTCACATGAGTGATTTGATTAAGTGAAAATCAGATCAAGTCGTACTTTTTCAAGATCCTTCAGTACCTCTCCATCACCTTCAGGACAGAAAGCCAGATGTGTCCATTTGTCTTCTTGCCTCTTACCTGTCTCTGCAGCCTTGAGTTCTGGCCCTGCTGCTGGTACTGCCTTGTTCCACTGCAGCCCCCAGACCCTTATAGATGACTTTCTGCTGTGCACCCCGCTGCCCAGGCCCGAGTTTCAGCACTTCTCCCTTGGTATCATCCTGCTGCTTTTTCTCCAGGTGGTAAACATTTTGAGGGCAGAAGTCAATTGTGTCTCATATGCTTGTTTGTCCTTTGTGTTTAGCACAGGTGAGAACTGGAGCCAAATGGGAACTTTGCTACGCTGTGCTCAGCTTGAGGATTTCTTACCCAGCTCACTCTGGTCTGGAGTCTGAAAGATAATCTCTTAAATGCTTGGCTTAACAGAGGGGTGAAGTACTGGACTGAATTTCCTATTCAGGACACTTGACTGGGAAATGGGTGCAGTGTTCAATAATGTTTTTGAGAAATCATTTCACCATTTTCTACCTAAGTATTAAGTAATTTTTGGCATTCCTACATTAAAAATAAACAGCCTAATCCATTCATTAGGAATTTTTAGTTGAGTTCCAGCCTCATAATTACTGTACTTTTCAGAATTGAGCCTGGAGATTAATCAGATTGTTTTATGTGCTATAAAAGTTGGAAGTTTTATGCATCTGTCTCATATATAGGTGCTTTCTTTTGTATTAAATAAGACACTGGATTTCCTTTAGCATGTGTGTGTGTATATATACTTCTTAAAAGTAATGCATATAATAAAACTGCTGTTAATCTAGAAAAGGATTTGCAATTTTAAATATTTTGCTATTGAAGGAATCACTTTTTTGGGAATGAGTCATCCAAATGGGTAGGGCATACACTCTTCTAGACCACAACGGTATCATTAACTGGTATCCTAGTAACTTAAGAATTATTGGGCCAGGCACGGTGGCTGACGCCTGTAATCCCAGCATTTTGGGAGGCTGAGGCGGGTGGATCACCTGAGGTCAGGAGTTCGAGACCAGCCTAACCAACAAGGTGAAACCCCATCTCTACTAAAAATACAAAAATTAGCCAGGTATGGTGGCAGGCGCCTGTACTCCCGGCTTCTGGGGAGGCTGAGACAGGAGAATTGCTTGAACCTGGGAGGCGGAGGTTGCAGTGAGCCGAGATCACGCCACTGCACTCCAGCCTGGCGAGAGTGAGACTCTGTCTCAAAAAAAAAAAAAAAAAAAAAAAAAAAAAAAACACAAAAAAACAACAACAAAAAAACGGAATTATTGACCCTGAAATTGCCTGACTGGCAACCTGGGCTTAATTTTCTAGTAGATTAATGGTCTTGCACTAAAGGATAAAACCGGTACCGAGGTCTTTTATCTCCCTTATATTCGCTCAGGATTCTAGTGAACTAGTTGCTAAGACAAGGGAAAACACTGGTCTGTTGTTCTGAACCTAATTGAGTCTTTTATTATGTTATGACTCACCTGTAGTTCAGATTTATTTCATTCAAGTCATGTAAAATAACTACACTGTGGTTTGTTTTGCTTACTTGGTTCGTGTTTCTAGTGATCTGTCAGGCTGAGTATGCCCATCCGCTAAAGTATGCCCATGGCTTTGGCAGGAGCTTGTGCAGCAGAGAGGAGACCACAGCAGTAAAGGGAAGAGGCTGCCTCATTCCATGGCCCCTCCAGGCTGAGGACCTATTCAGAATCTCTGTATGGAAACTGAAGATATCCATAGTACCTTAAACTGGGCCATGTTTAGCACAACAGGAGATTCTTCTCTTAAAAATGAATGCATCTCTCAATCTCTTACTCCCTTGTTCTCCCACTTGTGAGAGAAGGAAGCATTAAAACCAACACTGGGGCGTGGCTGCCCACAGAGCGTCAGAGACTGTTATATTAATTTAGTTGCCAACATCTAAAAATTAGTACCTTCACATTGAAATCTGGATTTTATTTTTTGTGTTAAAAATGGGAAGAATTGGCAACATACAGTCTTACAGCGCAATCCTGTTAGGCAGGGTGCATGTGCTGTCTTGTCCCAGACCTAACTAGGCCCTTGATATCACCTGCTTGATCCCTGTAACTGTTAATGTTCTCTCCGTCAATTCAAGCATTTCTTTATCTGTATGATTATTCCTCACTTTGAGCAGACCCAAGACATGAGAATCCAGACATGCAAAAGACCTATCTTTTCAGTAAGGTAATGTCATCATGAAATGTCCTTAAAAAAATGTGATTGATTTCTCAAACTTTTGAAAGGAATTAGGTAAAGTAGAATAAACTTTGCTTTTTTTGACCCTCTATCCAAACATAGAGATGTTTTCCTACAAGTCTTTAAATGTATGATTCAGGCATTCATTCATTCATTCATACGGAAAACAAAATACTAACAAGGTTAGTCTAATTAACTTTTTTCTTTTTAGACGGCTGTTCCCAAAACTGTGGAACATGGATTCTTATCCTCCTTGTTTTAGTTTTCCTGTATGAGTGATGAGAAAATGGATAATTATCTTAGTCTAGTGATGCTGCCATAACAAAAGACCTTAGACTGGGTAATTTATAAACAATAGACATTTATTTCTCGCAGTTTTAGAGATTGGGACGTCCAAGATCAAGGTGCTAACAGATTGAGTGTCTGATAAGGACTTGCTTTCTGCCTCCAAGATGGTGTATCTTGCTACGTCCTCATGTGGCAGAAGAGATGGAAGAGACTTGCTCCCTCAAACCCCTTTATACAGGCACTGATCCCATCCATGAGGGCAGCGAGCCCTCATGACCTAAGCACCTCCCGGTAGCCCTGCCTCTTAATATTATCACCTTGGGATTTAAGTCCAACATAGGAACTTTGGAGAGACACATTCAGACCACAGCAGGAGTTATCGATGCTTTTTTCAGCTGTAAAATATATGTTTTTTTTCCAAAAGAGTTTGAATTATAGCACTTAAATGGTGGTGCTGTTTACAATACCAAGTCCAATAGCATATCCTTTAATACCTTTTATTTTAAATTACTTATTTTTATAGCCAGTAATAGGAAGCCTGTTTTAAACATTCATCAGCATACAAAAGTTTGTTTCTTTCTTTTGATTTTAGCAATATTAATCACTTAGTTAGATAGAAAACTCATGTGTTCTGTAGGGTACAGGTGGGTACTTATTTATAACTAGTGGTGAATAAGTATATAATACAGCATGTTATTCATTGGATGGTAAAGACTGGATGTTGTTGGAAGGAAGGAAGATATATTTTAAGGTTTTGTTTTTGGAAATAATTAGATGAGGCTTTTAGGCATTATATATAGGTAGTGGTTAAAAGCATGGATTTGGGATTAAGGAAGACTTGGGTTTGAATCTTGTTTTTACCTTCTCGAGGCCGTTATAAGACAAGAAAACTACTTAACCTGTTCAAGTCTCAATTTCTTTTCTGTAAAATAGCAATGGTAGACAGTTCTTTGTAAGGAGATAGGTTTAAGTAAGAAAATGTATGTTAAACCTTTATATCGATGTCTGGCATATAGTAAGTATGTAATAGCTGCTGTATCTACATCATAATTATAGCAGTTATTTTAACGTTGTCTAAATGTATAAGCATAGTAGATTCACCTCTTTTTTTTTTTTTTTTTTTTTTTTTTTTGAGACAGAGTTTTGCTCTTGTTGCCCAGGCTGGAGTGCAATGGCATGATCTTGGCTCACTGCAACCTCCACCTCCCAGGTTCAAGCGATTCTCCTGCCTCAGCCTTCCCAAGTAGCTGGGATAATAAGCATGCACCACCAATCCTGGCTAATTTTGTATTTTTAGCAGGATGGGGTTTCTCCGTGTGGGTGAGGCTGTTCTCGAACTCCCAGCCTCAGGTGATCCGCCCACCTCGGCCTCCCAAAGTGCTGGGATTGCAGGCGTGAGCCACCGCGCCCGGCCAGATCCACCTCTTTACCTTGGCTTAGAATCTGAAATTGTGGAAGTTTTAATAGTTTTGAATATTATGGCTTTAAGAAAATATGAGTGGGAAATAATGTTTCTAATGGACAGAGCTATGGAGTTAGAATGCATGGGTTCATTCTACTTCACATTTAAATGGGACAGTATTTCCTGAGCTAGAGGGCTGTTGTGAGAATTAAATGGGATATGTTTGCCTGACATTTAGTATATTGTGAGATATACCACCTTTCCTTGACATATTGTGTTAGTAAAAGAAAATTTATGCTGTAGGAAAATTGTATATTATCCATCTTCAAGTAGTCTGTATAGATGTTACAGCTGTGCCTAGAAGTCAGCAGAATCCCAAGAAATATCTTTGTGTTTTAGGTTGGTTTGCTGGTGTTTCACAGTTGTTGTGATGAAGTAATGAAACTCTGTGTCATGGATTTAATTTTAGTCAAGTTTTTAAATGTTACACTTTTTCAATAAGAGACTTGAATAGATATTTTATGCCCTAATAAAGTACTGAATACTTGCTGTAGTTTCAGGATTCCAGAATTGCATTAGTTGTGAGAAGTATATGGGGCAAGGGCTAGTGTGTAAAGGGCTTTTTGAGCCCCGTCACATTTGAGCATTGTGACAAATAGAAAAAATTATAGTACTGAACTGAACACTGATGTATAAAGTGTTAATTCTGTGACCTGGGTCACAAATTTAGTAAGGAAAGGTGTAAGATTAAACATATTTTCATGGAATCTCTGAAGGTTCCTGAATCCAATATAGAAGATAGGCAACATTTGTATTGACTGATAGAGTAAGATGGTTTTACAGGGTAGGAAGCTGGAATGTCCCAAGATATTCATTCAGTTTTTGGTTCACATAGTATTGATGAGTATATAAACTTCTTTAAAATAGTATGGAGGCCAGGCACAGTGGCTCACGCCTGTAATCCCAACACTTTGGGAAGCCGAGGCAGGAGGATTCCTCGAGCCCAGGAGTTTGAGACCAACCTGGACAACATGGTGAGACTGTCTCTACAAAACATTTTAAAAATTAGCGGCTGGGCACGGTGGCTCATGTCTATAATCTCAGCACTTTGGGAGGCTGAGGTGGGTGGATCATCTGAGGTCAGGAATTCGAGACCAGCCTGGGCAACAGGGTGAAACCCTGTCTCTACTAAAAATGCAAAAATTAGCCAGGCATGGTGGTGGGTGCCTGTAATCCTCAGGAGGCTGAGGAAGGAGAATTGCTTGAACCCAGGAAGCGGAGGTTGCAGTAAAGTCGAGATCGCGTCATTGCACTCCAGCCTGGGCAACAAGAGTGAAATTCCGTCTCAAAAGAAAAAAAAAAAAAAGCCGGGTGTTGTGGCATGCACCTGCGGTCCCAGCTGCTCAGGAGGCTGAGGTAGGAGGATCACTTGAGCACAGGAAGTGTAGGCTGCAGTGAGCTGTGTTCGTGCCACTGCACTCCAGCCTGGCTGACAGACTCTGTCACAAGAAAAAATAATATAGTGTGGGGACACCAACCTTTATTTTATGTGTCTTAATGTGGTGCATTAGTCTGCTTTCACACTGCTGATAAAGACATACCTGAGACTGGGCAATTTACAAAGGAAAGAGGTTTAGTGGAGAACTCACAGTTCCACATGGAAGCCTCACAGTCATGCGGAAGGCAAGGAGGAGCAGGTCACGTCTACGTGAGTGGCGGCAAAGAGAGAGGTTGTGCAGGGAAACTCCTGTTTTTAAAACCATCAGATCTCATGAGACTCACTGTTACAAGAACAGCACGGGAAAGACCTGCCCCCATGATCGAATTACCTCCCACCAGCTCCCTCCCACAACACATGGGAATTCAAGATGAGATTTGGGTGGGGACACAGCCAAATCATGTCATGTGAATTAGGAAGAAATATAAACCAGCATATCAAACAAACCTAGGGTTTCACAAATATTGCTTAGGATGAGGTGAGGTTAAAAAAAAAAAAAGTGAGTTGATCATAAACTGATCTAAAAAAATAGTACAAGTAGTATTATGACGCAGTGCCGCTATCAAAGTAGTATAGAAATGACCGAAGTTTGGGAAAAACTGTTTTGGACTGTCCTCATATCATGGAGGAAAGACTGGTTAAAGATGGGGCAGTGTCAGAAGAAAAATAAGTTTTAGGCCGGAGGTAATTTTAAACATTTTCTTGCCTTACCAGCGGATGGCTTCCTTGTGCTTAAAGAACTTAAACAGTTGAGAATTAAATTTTGCCCATTATTTTTCCCCCCCCTTTCTCTGTGCAACCTCTCTGCCCCTTAATAAATGTTTTTGGTACTGACTACTGCTGCTCCTGCTAATACCATCCTGTAGAAATTTTTCTTGAGTGAGGAATAGTTTTTAGAAGGCTTTTATGATGATAACTTTTAAATTTATTTTTAACTATGCCAGCAGGTTATTAGATATATAGGTTCAAAGGAGATTGAGGCTGGAGTCTGTTCAAACATTTTCAGAGGTGAAGATGACACAGGGTTCATGGAGATTTCCTTCATGGTACCAGAACAGGGCAGGGTTTCACTGCATGATAATACCCATGTTTCCATTGCTTGTAGACCTAATCATTTTTACTTATTGATTGGCACTGTGGGCCAAGATCGTGACATCCATCCTAATAAGCAGGTCTCATCAAAAGCCTTAGAATGGAGAAAATTTTAATAATGCTTTATTAGTTGGTTAAGTAAGCCCTGATGTTTGGCTTTCTAGTGACCGGTCATTGCCCTGCAGACTCTGTAATGGGACAGTTTGGCTGGGTGTAGGGGGTCATGCCAGGCTGAGGTGGGAGGATTACTGTAGGCCAGGAGTTTTGAGACTAGCCTAGGCAACATAGACCGCCCCCCATCCCTATAAATATTTAACAATTAGCTGAGCATAATGGTGTGTGTGCTTGTAGTCTTAGCTGCTGAGGAGGCTGAGGTGAGAGGATCACTTCAGCTCAAGAGCTTGAGGTTACAGTGAGCTATATGATTGCACCAGTGAACTCCAGCCTGGGCAACACAGTGAGACCCTGTCTCAAAACAAAAACAAAAACAAAAACAGGTAGGGAGAGACAAGGAGAAGGGTAGTACTGACATGGCCTGTCTTTACTTTCCCCTCTCAGCCCTGGAACTCTCCACAGGGAAAGGTTTTTTGTTCCTTCTTCTTGTCTAATAAATGGCTTGACTTGAGGGGTATCTTGGAGGCATTCTCAACCCAACCCTGAAGGTTTATCAGCACTTTCCTGGTGGACAGCACCTCAGCCTCTGCCCTGGCTCCTTTCATCCTCATCCCCTAGAGCCAGGATCCCAGCATTTACAAATTAAGATGTTTCTCCCACATTAATTAATTCAGAATTTATTAGAAACATACTGCAGACACAAAGGTCAAGTACACGACGGCTTCTTCAGAGCTGAAGAGTCTGCAGCTGTTTACGATTATATCAGAGGAGGAGATGTAATCAAAGATTGTACTATACAATTATTAAAAGTTACAGAATTTGTTACTGTTTATCATTCCCTTTCCCCTTTCAGAGGACATTTTCACAGAGATTCATGAAATAAAAGTTTGGTTAATGACAGAAGTGGGAAACCTTAGTAGGATGGAAGAAAAGAAAGAAAGACTGAGGCTTTTGTGCCATGGTAAGATGGTAAAACAATAAAAATAACATCTGCATTTTATTGAGAACATACTCTGTGTGTACAGGCACTGTGTTTAAGCCGTTTCCATGCAACAAGCTTAATAGTTGGAGAATCTTGCTCATAAGCACCTACCCTGCACAGCCAGAACCACTATGGATAACTTCTACAAACATCTCCTGAGATTTTTGAGAATTCCTGTTTGCAAAGTCTGCTGAAGTTGTTCCCATAAACTGCAATAAAGTGTAACTTCACGAGAATTACTGTATGTATCCCTTGAGTGGTGAGTGATGGACTACAGTGAGAAGTGGATTCTAGGGTGTTGGATTCACATTTGTGGCTAACCAAGATTACAAATTCATGCATGTTCTGGAATTTCAGGGGCATTGCTAAATGCACAGAGTCAGGGGCCTGCTGGATGTGTTTTTAGTGGCAATAAGTATTACCCAGTCTTTTCTGCTGCTGTAAGCTTTCAGATAGAGACTTGAGAGCAAAAAGGTCAGCTTACCCTTTGTAGTTGGAACTCAGTTCCTGTAGAATTTCTTTGGAAACATGTGTTTCTAATATGTCAGAATTGGTTTAGCTTAAGCTAAAAAGAAAATTATAGCCTGATTTGTTTAAAGGAACAAAAATGTCTACATGCCACAGTTTGGATGCACAGAGCATGGTTCAATGCTCAGTAGACTTTTATGCTTTTTATTACTCGGATTTTTATTTCTCTATCAGTGTGCTAGATAAAAAGTAAAGTTTTATGGGTAGTATTCTAGTTCTACATAGAAGTTTTATTTCTCATATAGTTTTTTCTTATATGTAAAATTACATGTTATGAGCTACTTTAATATTAACAAGTAACCTCAGTAAAATACTAAAGTGACTGTTATGGGATAAATAACGAAACTTAGGAAACTTAGGATCATTTGTTTTGAAATACATAATACTGGAATTACTGAATTTTTCCCTCTAGAGTTTTAAAATTCCCATTGCCAGTGGAGTGGGGGTGGGGATGTGTGCACGTGTGTATTGTTATTTTTGTTCCTGAGATTGGGCTATAATGTAAGCATGAAAATTGCCCCCCCCCCACTCCATGAATAAATTGCCTTTATATCTTATCTTACTAATGATATGCATTTACACATAATGCCTTGTGATAGAATTAATTCTAAAGGAAATTGTTAACTAGATGAGATTTTTCAGACACTGCCTATTAGGCAGGTTTTAATAGGAACTCCCACTGGTGGCTTAACTATTTTGCTTGTGTGCTATCATCTACTTTAAATCCCATAGATTTTTCCATCAGCCTTGAAAACAAAGGTTAAACTATTTTTGGGTCTTCACATCCTGGTTTTGCAGGGAGACGGGAGGTATGGAGGCATTGCCCATTTCATAAAGCTGTATGTTTTTGAACTACGCACATGGTGCTTTGCACGAATCAAAACTGCCAAAGGGACAGATGTTGCCAATTTCAAATGTACAGGGGGAAGGCAAATATTGCTAAGCAACGGTGTACTTGAGAGAGCATTTTTAGGAGCAGAGCCAGGGGAGTTATGCCTGGGAGCACTCACTGCTTCTTATGGCTCAGTACAAGGGAAGAGATTCAAAGTTCTTTCCTGTAAGGGCCGCCATTGCAGCCGCCAGCACACGAGACAGTGACCTAGTGGCACCGATTAGGGCTGGCAAGGGGATGTGTGAAAACAGGAAAGCTTTTTTGCCATGTGGGAAGGCAGTAAGACATGTTCACAGAGGTGAGTGCCCCACAGTGTACAGCTGCCCCACAGTAAGTATGCAGCAGCTGGAGGTTCAGGTGGGGAGGATGGAGGGTAGGGAAATAAGTGAGAGGTGAGGCCACAAGAGAAAGTTGATGTGTCTTGTTTCTCTTCCCCCTTCTCTTCTTTTCTTTTGCCCCCCTGTGTTAGGGGCTAACATGGAAGAAGAGAAGGATCAAAATGACCTCTGTGGTTTAGTGCATGACCTTATAAACAAGGTAAATAAGCTTGCCAGCCATAGGTATTCGTCCCTTCCCATGTCCCCTCCCTCTGTATAAACTTGATAGGTAATAGACAGGTGGCGTGGTGTGTGTGGCCTCTTTTTTTTTTTTTTTTTTTTTTGGCTACCACTAGAGGCTTGGAATACCTCTTGAGATTTGCATGGTTGTTAGTTTAGATTATGGATTCATTCTCTCCCTCCCTCTCCTTCTGTCCCCATCTCCTCTCTTTTCTGTCTCTCCCTCCCTCCCTCTCCCCTTCTCCCTCTCTCTCCCTATCCTCTTCCTCCCTCCCTCTCGTCTCTCTTCCTTGCTTTCTCTTTCCTCTCTCCATCTTTTCTCTCCTCTCCCCTCCTCTTTCTCTCCCCTCCTCTTTCTCTCCCCTTTCCCTCTCCTCTCTCTCCTCTCTCCCTCTCCTATCATCTCTCCCTCCTTTCCCTTCCCTTTCCCCCCACTTCCTCCCTTCCTTTTTTCTCTTCTCCTTCCCCTCCTTTCTTTCATTTTACTGAAATAATGGTGAGAGTGACAGTAGAGAAAATATAACTTGGAGTTTTGTATCTGGAGAAAATCACAGCATATTCTTGGCAATATATTTGAAAGAAATTCAAAACATAAGTATTAAATAAGGTATTCCTTATCACTCAGGATTTTTTTTTTTTTTTTTTTTGAGACGGAGTCTCACTCTGTTGCCCAGGCTGGAGTATAGTGTGGGATCTCAGCTCACTGCAACCTTTTCCCCCAACCCTGTTCAAGCAATTCTCCTGCCTCAGCCTCCTGAGTAGCTGGGATTACAGGCGTGTGCCACAACGCCTGACTAATTTTTTGTTGTTGGTTTTGTTTTTATTTTTGTTTTGAGATGGAGTCTCGCTTAGTCACCAGGCTGGAGTGCAGTGGCAGGATCTCAGCTCACTGCAACCCCTGCCTCCCGGGTTCAAGTGATTGTCCTGCGTCAGCCTCCTGAGTAGCTGGGATTACAGGCCTGCGCCACCACACCACGCTAATTTTTGTATTTTTAGTAGAAACGGGGTTTCACCATGTTGGCGAGGCTAGTCTCAATCTCCTGACCTTGTGATCCACCTGTCTCGGCCTCCCGAAGTGCTGGGAGTAGAGGCGTGAGCCACTGCACCCAGACCTAATTTTTGTATTTTTAGTAGAGACTGGGTTTCACCATGTTGACCAGGCTGGTCTCGAACTCCTGACCTTGTGATCCACCTGCCTCGGCCTCCCAAAATGCTGGGATTACAGGCGTGAGCCACCATGCTCAGCCTTTTCTTCATCTTTCAAACTCTGGACTTGAATTTCTGGATCACTTAGCAAATGTTTATGGCTTTTAAAAATCTTCCTGAAGTAAAGCTAAAAACTGAAAATATTGGCAGCTTCTCAGCCTAAATATGATGTATGTGTGCGTATGCATTTATGCATGTGCATGCACACTCCATCCAAGATGTTATTTGTTGTTTCTCATAAGAAACTTACAATTTAAGTCAAATTTAAAAGATGGTGGGTGCTTCTACCCAAGTTTTAACATATAAACAGTATTAATTTTCACCAGTCTAGGAAAATTTCAAAATAATTTTCCTTCAATACAGACAGGTGTACTAGAGAAATTTCAGTGTACTTCTAGCTTTATGGTTCTCATTAATTTATTCAGCATAGTTTGTGATCTGTCTATATTTGTAGGGGGTGTAAATTTATGTGATGAAAAGCTAATAGGCGAGGACGATAGTGTTTCCACTTTTTACTCCCCAGGAGACAGGAATTGTTTAAGGTTAGCTATAGTGAGTCCGCTTAAGTCAACGCCAAGACAACTGAGAAACTGGCGAAAAAGCAGTGAGAAAGGAAGAAGAACCCCCAATTTTTTCTTTGATTGATTTGAATGTAGGCTAGTTATACCTTTTTGGCTGTTTTTAGTAAGAACTATGTTATAAAATGAATTGGAGGACCTGTTACCACCAGACTTAGGAGGTAGTAGTTTTCCAGTGACTTTTAATTTCCCTACCAGTCTTTTTTTTTTTTTTTTTAAATACAGGGTTCTAGGTTAGTGTAGGAAAAAAAACTGGTGTATTTTATTCCACAAGAAGCTTTTGGTAAATTATTTATTAAGGAAACAACTGTTGGACATTGAGATGGCTTTTAAAGATTTACCTAGAAGAGATAATAAAACAGATAAAACTGATCTGCTCAGGGGCCTGTCTTCAGTCTTTTCAGGCTCGTTTACTGTGGTGTTCATGCCAGCGCAGCCTGGTAGACAGTGTTGCTGTGGCTGTAGAAATAACACTGCTCATTTTTATGGAGGATATTGCTGTATGCCAGTTAAAGAAATTCAAGTTGAAAGACCTTTAAATTTTTTTTAATAATACACTTCCTTCCCCACCCCCAAGCTGTCACCATGATTATGATGCCAGGAAAGCAGTGCGGTGGCTCCAGGATTGTTCTCCCATGGGCTGTGTGCCAGGTGGATGAAGTAGTCAGGAGGGCCACAGTTGGGTTTATGTACAACCTAGATATCATCTACTTGTGCTGGTTGACCCTCCATTTTCTAAAGGCAATTTCCAAAGGGAGTTGCTTTTGTTGTTACTATTAGAACGGTTGCCTTTTTTCCATATGATCTCTTCTCTGTCACTTAGGTTCTGTATTCTATATAGAAAAGTATGGAGGGAAAGGGAAGAATCAGGAAAGATAGTGAATGCAAGAATATTGGGGGTTATGATGTGGTTAAGTTAGATTGTGCCTCAAAACACTGAAAAGATTGGAGTTTCGGGTCAGGAGCTCTGGATTAAAGGCCAACGGGAATCTTTTAAACTTCTTGGTTGTGTGTGTGTGTCGGTGTGTGAAGTCAGAGGCAGACGATGAGAGAAATAAATTGAGATGGAGAGAAAATAATATGAATGCTTAGAAGATTTTAAATTCAGGGCTGGGCGTGGTGGCTCACGCCTGTAATCCCAGCACTTTGGGAGGCCGAGGTGGGCGGATCACGAAGTCAGGAGATCTAGACCATCCTGGCTAACACGGTGAAGACCCGTCTCTACTAAAAATACAAAAAATTAGCTGGGCCTGGTGGCGGGCGCCTGTAGTCCCAGCTACTCAGGAGTCTGAGGCAGGAGAATGGCGTGAACCCGGGAGGCGGAGCTTGCAGTGAGCCAAGATCACACCACTGCACTCCAGCCTGGGCAACAGAGCGAGACTCCGTCTCAAAAAAAAAAAAAAAAAAAATTTAAATTCAGAAGGCATTAAGAGGACATTTATTTTTTAAACGATTTTCTCCTTGGCACTTATTAAATACCTATTTAAAATAAATTCAAGAATAACTTTTATATATCTAGTCTGCCCCTTGTATTTATTTATTATTTATTTTTATATTTATATTTTTGAGATGGAGTTTTGCTCTGTCTCTCAGGCTGGAGTGCAGTGGCACGATCTCAGCTCACGGCAGCCTCCGCCTCCTAGGTTCAGCAATTCTCCTGCTTCAGCCTCCCCAGTAGCTGGGATTACACGCTTGCACCACCCACCACCACGCCTGGCTGATTTTTTTTGTATTTTTAGTAGAGATGGGATTTCACCATGTTGGCCAGGCTGGTCACAAACTACTGACCTCAAGTGATCTGCCTGCCCTCGGTCTTCCAAGGTGCTGGGATTACAGGCGTGAGCCAGTGTACCCAGCCTCTTGTGTTTATTTAAAAAGAAATACTGGCGTTTGTCGAATGATGGAGTCTTATTTTCAAACTTTTGTATTAAATATATTTTCGCTTTCACCAGATCAGTAAATCAGTGTATCAGATGAGTCTTGCTGGAAGTCTGATGTAGTTTGTGTATAGTTTTAGACCAAATTTATATGCAGAGATAACGCAGGAAAAGATAATTAAGTCTATCTAAGATTCAGTGGGATTAGTAAGCCTTAAAAAAAAAAAAAGACCAAATCTGTTTATTGATAGGTTATAGAAAAGCAAAATACTTCCTTAAATTAGGCACTTTTTGATAGGCTTAAATAAATGATGTATAACTGTTCATGATGTTCTGATATTAAATGAATTGTACATTCCCAGGATGACCTTGAGCCCTTTTTCTAGACCCTAGTAATTAACCTGATTGCTCATTACCCAGCATTAAAGCCAAAAAAAAAAAAAAAAAAAAAAAAAAAAAAAAAAGCGGGGGCGGAGGATTTACTTGTTCAGAATTAAGATGTCAAGGACAAGGTCGTCTTTATTTGCCTTCTCTCTTTTGCGTTTGTTATAGTGTCAGTAATCCCCAGGGTGTTTGGGGCTCAGATTGCTTCCTCAGAGTATATATGCCTCTAGCCTACCACTTCAATAATTTTCTGTCCTTTTTTCCCCCGTTTTTTTTGTGTTTTGTTTTTAAATAACGATGCCAGGAGACAGAAAACCAACACCTACTCCAGAAGAGGCTGTTGAGATTACTGCTGGAATAAGCCCAGGATAAAATCTTTATGTCCTTTCAGACAAAGCGTGGATTAAATAGTTTATCTGACTCATATGACTGCAGTTTCTTTCGGCCTCATCCAGAAACTGATACAAAGTTGTTTTTTTCTTCTTCCTTTTTCTGGTGCTTCTATAATCTTAGCTTATGCTCAGCTGTGAAAAAAGTAAATGTCCAGGCAGGCACTCTCTGCAACATAGAATTAAACATGCTTCCTGAACATTGTTTGCACTTTCATTTGACAGAGAGCAGAAATACAGGTTTATGTATCCATAAATCCTGTCATGGTTGACAAAGTAATTTAATAGTGTTTTGACTCAGAACCATCCGTTAATACGATTTGAGAGACAGAGTAGAGTGCTCGTGTGTGTGTGCACGTGCGTGTGTGCATGTGTGTGTAGGACTGGATGGGGTGGGTGCAGGGCAGGAAGCATGTGACAGAACACCACCACGCTGCAGTTTCACACCCTCCCTGCAGCAATAGGTTTTAACTGAAAAGCTACTACTCATGCTTTGCAAATTGATAGTCCCACTGAAAAAAAAAAAATTAAATTCTTCCGAAAAACACTCTGAGGTTTTCGTGAGCAGAATTGGTTGTAGAAGGGGAAATAGATCATATAGCTTAGGCCATTTGAAAGGACTTGTCAGTTGACTATTGCTGGAATGGAACCAGTGTCTAGACTTGTTCTTTGTGATGCCTTTAAAAAAAAAAAAATCAGTGCCTTTTAACCATTCTTACTTAATCATTCATGGCTGCTGTGCCCACAATGGGCTTCATGGGGCCTCATGTGGTCTTTCATCAAAGGCACAGTGTTTTAAAGTCTTAGACCATTGGGGATTCTGATTCCCCTTATTACGTGGTGAATGGTAATGGTTCATAGTCAATAGTTAGGAAGTTGGTGAATAACTGAGATTAGACATTTACTGTCAAACAGTGGTAAGTTTTTTACATTTGTTTTTCATTCAGGTACTTTGTTGTTAAGTGAGTTTAAACCTATCCCAGCACACCCTACTTATTTTAACTTTTGCACTGTTAGTTGACATATTGTCATAATATGTACTGAAAACATTTCTGCGTATAAAACATCAACACTGAATTGTACCTTTTATATGTACTGTTTCATGTGACTATACAGGACCTTGCAAACATCAAAAATTATATTGTATGTGATCTCAGGATATATAATGGTAACAAAATCAGTGAATCCAGCATTGTTACTGCTTCTCTCATTATTTGCATATTCTTATCAAGTGAGTGTTTACAATTATACATGTGGACAACAACCACTCATTGTTTTCATTTTTATTTAAGCCGGGTCTTAAGAACTGGAATCCTTGGTTTCATAATTAAAAGAGGCCCTCTTTGTAGAGATCAAAACAAAATTTCCAGAATGTTTTAAGTAGCTCAGTTAATGCAGATTGAGCCTCTACAAATTTTATATGCTTTAGAAAAATATCTTTATGATGCCAATTATGCAGATTACCTCACTGGTATAATCAAAATGACCAACTGGAAAGAAACAATAAGTTTTCTAATTATTCATATTAATCTTTAAAGAACTGCTATTTTAAAATACTTCTTCCCATTGGGTTTTATAAGTTTCAGTGATGTCTTAGGATTTAGTGGGTTTTTTTAGCTTGTTTTTGCTTTAGTTGATGAAAGATAAGGTAATATCATTTGCTTATGAAAGAGCAATTTACCTAAAGGTAAATTTAAAAAAATCAAATATATAAATATGTGTGCATATATTCACTTATATGTACACATATATACACACGTATTCAATATGTTATATATATATCTCCTATCTACACGATATATTAGGCTCTCATTTATTAAATGAACTGGGGTGCCAGCACATCTCTAACATGATCTTCCAGTGTTTATCCTGGAGTATTATTTCTTCATCTTCTATCTCAAGGAAGCGTACGTACATCCTTTCTTTACCCAAACATGCTGCCTGATATACCTACCCTCCCCAACCTGACGTTCTGATGTTACTGTCATATCTGAAATTTTGCATTCTGAGAAATTTATGTCCCCAAACTGCATTTAGGCAACTACTCTTATAGGTGAAAACATCTGATTAGGTGGTAGTGGTTGATGGATTATAGTCACAAGATAATACTTCTTTAAAATTTGAAGACTTCTGCATCTTAAAAATATCACTGTTCTGTGAAGTTGTCTGGAGTTTTACCAATATGAGCTGACATATATTGCTTCCCAGGAAAGAGATTGGAAATTCACCATAAAACTCTAATTACTTTTTGGTTATCTTATGTATCTGAATTTTGTTTGAGATGTCATGACATGACAAAATCGAGTATTCATTTTATAAATATTAAATGAGTCTAGAATTATGCTAAGGCCTTGTGAGGAATGCAGAGATTACTAAACCCTAGTTCCTGCTTGTGGGAAGCCTGTCTGGAGGAGAAAGATTAGAACACTAAGGGTTACAATCCAGAGTTGAATGTGATTGGAGAGTCAAGGGAGGGAAGACTTCCAGAAAAGGGCAGCCAGTGGTTGTGATGCACTACCCCCTTCTTCTAGGTTCCCCCAATAGGAGTAGAATTCCTTGTTCGTTTCATAATAAATTTTTGTTGGGAGATAACTGTAGGTGACCTAGAGATTCCTCATTATTTTAAAATAATCTTTTTTATCCACCTTATTTCTCCTCTCCCTGAAAAATCTGTTTAGAGAACTATAGAGATTCTGCAGTTAGGGAGATTCTGCAGTTAGCCTCATTTGTGTTAGTCTTCACATGTGGCAGGCAGTTTGACGTTAAAAAGAGTCAGGGAACATGAAAGTAATTTTTTGCTACATATTAGAGCTTATCACTTTTAAGGAATATCCAAAACCTTTCCATTATTTAAAGATATCTGGGATTAGATGAAGTGTAGCTAATAATTCTTAAGGGAGGATTTAACAGTTAAAGTTGGTTTTGCAACTTAATGTAATAATACTTTATTTTTAGGAAAGCTGTTCAGAGCACCTTATTCCTTGTTTTGTAATCCATCACCCCTCCATCCATATTAATCTTTAGCATGGCTGTTTTTTGTTGTTGTTTTCCTTGTTTTAATTTGGACTATAACTGTGCTCATATATCTGTCCAGTGATTTAAAAAAATGTTTATCCTAAAATTCTGGGTATACAGATAGATGGGTAGTTGCCCATAGGGCATGATGCTTCTGAAAGTAGAATTACTGCTGGTCCCTTTGAACGTTTTCCAGCTGAAGTAGGCACACCCAGGCAGTATGAGCATGTTCTTGGAACAGGCTTAGCTATTTATGTAATTTACTCTGTGTCTATAGAACACAATTTTATGACAAACCTTGTTCAGCCAGGCCTTTTAGTCTCCTCCTCTAATCTGTCTCTTAGAAATGATGATTATGGTGTCTTCATATAAATGCATGTATTTATTTGTATGGAATTAGTTTTAACATGCATTGTCTTATTTCTTCCTCAAAACAACCCTGTAAGATTATGTTCATTTCAAATGTGTCTTCTCACTATGTAAGTATGACTAACAAAAAGGAGAGCGAGAATAAAAAACTTCTCTTTCAATAACTTTCTAGTCTAGTTTGGAAAGTTCGTGAAGTTTAGCAAGTGAACACTGGGCCAGGCCTTCAGAGCAAGTCCTGTGGCAACTCGAGTTCCATTAGGGAAGGCTGACTGGAAATCTGTTTTGTTTTGTTTTTTTTACAAAAATTCAGTGTGGCGTGTATTACGTAGGGTGTGCCCAGAGCACCAAGGTGTAAGCTGGGGACAGTTTAACATAGGTGTGTGTTCAGAGTAAGGTAAGTTACATAGAGGAAGGCTAATAGAAAATTTAGCTGTACTTCGAGAACAGGCTTTTGATCCCTATTTATTTCAATCTAATATTTGTGTTTTTAGTAATGAATAGGTAATAGGTCAGAATTTAAAAGGTTAAAAAAAGGATATACATTGAAAATCTTCCCCCTATTCCTTCCCCCAGCCTCCATTCCCCAGCCTTCCTTTCTGGAAGTAATTGATGTTAGGACTTTCTTGTGTATCATTCCCAGTGGTATTTTATGCATAGTAAGCAACTCCATATATATGTTTTCTTCTCATTGATACTTTCTTCATTTATAGAAATGCTGGCATATAATGCATCTTTTTTTAAAAATTTATTCTTCTAAACAATGTATCTTGGAGATTACCCCAAATCAATGCAAAAAGAGCATCCTTATTCTTTGTTGTAGTTGCGTAGCATTTATTTCTTTCTAGGTGGCATGTACCATAGTTTTCATAGTCAGTTACCTGTAGATACACATTTAGATTGTTTCCAGTATCTTGCTATTTGCAAACTAGGCTGAAGTGAATAACTTTGTACATATTTTTTTTGTACATGTAGGAGGCAGTGCTAAAGGTTAGAGAAGTGTCTGTGTAATTAGAATTTGCTGACTATTGCCAAATTAATGTCCTTAAAGGTTGTAGCACTTAATCCTCCTACCAATCATGGGATTTGAGTGCCTATTTCCCCATGTCTATCTCATAGATGGAGTATTGTTAATCTTGTGGCTGTTTGCCAATCTACGTGTGAAAAGTAGTTTCTCAGTAGTTGTAATGTTTCCAGGGAGAAAACAATGCAAAACAATTATCTTTTTGTCTCTTTTATGTTTATTTACATGTAGTTTAGTTTGTTAATTAAGGTGTTGCTTTATAATTCAGGCAGCCTGCATCTTCTTAAGTGTCTAAAGCCATAAGAGAAACTTAGTTTCAAATTCTGAGTTCCGGGACTGAAAACATGCCAGCCATTGTTTATGGGGTTGCCTCTGTGTGGCTGGCACCCTGTGATTCAGTGAGGGTTCTGGCCCTAACTTCCATGGAACATATTATCTAGAGGGAGTAGAGAGGATGCAATAACAGAGAATGTACGGATAGTTACGGGAGCATCTGCAAGAGAACCTGGACAGTTTTGGGAGTAAGGGAGCATCAGGGATGTTTTCCAAAAGATGTCTTTCATCTGCAACCTGAAGCTTTAGTAGGAATTATCCCTGACACAGATGGAAGAGAGAAGAGGGCTCCAGATCGGGGCAAGAAAAGTGTGACTTATCTAACTAGCGAGTTGGGGGTAGATGAGCAGCAAATAGTGAAGACTGAACAGTAATCCAAAAGGTGGTGACACATTTGAAGAAAAATAGCTTGGACATTTATTTTACTCTCTTAAAAATTAAACTTTGGATAGATAACCTATTGGGATTTTTTTTTTAAGCTGTCATGCTGTTAAAGAATGCCTTGATAATGTTGGCACCGCCTGTTATTCCATATATCAGTGCCTTTTGATGGTTTTGAAAGTGTGTTTTATTAGATATGTTTTAATATGAAAACATATTTGACCTTCATACCAACCCTGAGAAGTGGTTAGGTTTGGTAATACTATACCTTCTCACAATGAGGAAATAGTCCCAAAGAGGATGAATCTTATCCAAGATTCAGCGCCAGTCTTCAGCAGAGCCAGATCTAGAATCCAAGATCTTTTGGCTTCCCTCGTCAGCACATTGCCTTTGTGCTCTCTCTATTTCCTGGTTAGTGATAAGTAAGCCTTTTTGAGAATAGCATTGTTATAAAAATGCCGCTCTGTTGAAACTTGAGAGACTTAAAACACAATATTGCAAGAGCCTCCCAGTCTCAGTGGCATGTTTCTTCAGCCAGCTCTTTTTAGCTTATTAAAACAAACTGTCATGCTTAGAAGACATTCACTCACATATTTTATTTTGGTATCAGTGCGTTTCCTTACAGTTACACAATGTCATTCCAGGAGGAGTGAGAAATCAGGCCACGGCCAGCATTGCTGCCTTTTCTGGTCCGAAGCACTGGTAGTAGGAAGAGGCAGTTAAATGTGAATACCAAAATGCTTCTTTGTAGAAGCAAAGGAAAAACGTAGCTCTTGAAAAAATGTTTTAGGTTATGCATAGGACAACTGGAATCACACACCCTCCTAAAATGCTAATATATTTGTTTCTTGCAGCAGTGTTGAGGTTTTTAGAAAACTGGTATAACAGTATTCTGAGCCAGCTCAGCTGCTTCAGAGCTTTTGTGTGTCCTTGCATAGACAACTTAATTTCTCTAGGATTCAGTCTCCTCGTTTTATTTTTAAAATTATTTTATTTGTAAATACCTCATCGTGGACTCCAAAAGCATGTCTCCTCGTTTTAAAAACTGGCATAATACCTACCACAAAGGTTGATGTGAGAATTAAATAGAGCTTTATACAGAATTCCCTCAGGCATTTTTAAGTTTATGTAATAGGGATGTATCTTACAGTTGATGGGTACATTTAGTGTAGTCCCCCTACCTCCCAAGCTAATAATGGTGCGTCGTACAATTGATGGTACCAAATTGAGGTGATAATAACATAGAAAGAGTTTAATGCAACGTGAAGTACAAAATGCATTCAATAAGTAGCTGCTATCATTTTTTTAAAAATTAAATATGGCTGCTTGTTAAGGCCATATCCCAGGAGGAAAGTGTGGTCTCTGCTGGGAGGTTGGTCTACATACAGGAAGCCAGATGTGTGAGATGGCTCTAGATAGGCAGAAGGGGAGAGCTCGTGCCCTCTAGGAACCTATTAATAGATATCAAGGGTGGGAAAAGGCAGTGTTTTGTGGTCATGTTAAAGTCAGTGTCTATACCATTGAGGAAAGAGCTAGCCAGAGAAGGACTTACAAACTAGATTTTCTTGATTCATGCAACTATCATAGAAATGTTTATTGTTGCTTTTTGTCATTTTGTGTTCTTTAAGGACGTTGTACATTGAATGTCTTCAGCCTTATCTCAGTTGTGGCTTAGAGAGAGCTGGCCAGGACCAATTGTTTATTCTTTGACCATGGTGTTAAAGGGAGAGTCTGGCTCCTTTTAGTAGGAGTAGCAGTATTTGGCTGGAGACCCTATTGGGAGAGTGGATTTTAGGAAAGGGGTTAAGAGCCAGGTGCAGTGTCACACACCTGTAGTTCCAGCTACTCTCTGAAGGCTGAGGTAGGAGGATGACTTGAGCCCAGGCCAGCCTGGGCACCATAGCAAGACCCCATCTCTGTAAAAGAAGGGGATTAGGGGATTAGGATGTAACGGTTTAACTGCTCCCCTTTTGGAAAACCTCCTTCCAGTGGCATGCTTGGAGGTGCCAAGTTGCACTTTATGAGACGAGGCAGCCTGTCCTTGTAGATCTTTCCCTGTAAACAAATCCAAAAGATCTGTCTTGTAGTTTAAGTGTCTCTAATTAGGGTGGCGAGAAGAGTGAAGATGTGAGTCTCAGGTAGATGGAACATAAAATGATCTCATACTATGCAAACTTTTCAGTAGCCTCTCTTTTAAATGTAGGTTTACAATGTGTTTTGGTATACACAAAAGTATTTAGGGATAAAGGGACATTAACTCTCTAACTTACTCTTAAACAGTTCAAAATGTAGGTGAGCAGAAGAGAAAAATATAAAGCAAATGTAAAATGCTAACATTTGGGAAATCTGGGTAAAAGGTATGTGGGAAATCCTCCTACTGGCTTTTGTAGTTTTTCTCTAATGAAATGAATTTTTTTTTTTTTTTTTTTTTTTTTTTGAGACAGAGTCTCACTCGGTCTCCCAGGCTGGACTACAGTGGCCCAATCTCTGCTCACTGCAAGCTCCGCCTCCCAGGTTCACACGACTCTCCTGCCTCAGCCTCCCTAGTAGCTGGGACTACAGGCATCCGCCACCACGCCTGGCTAATTTTTTGTATTTTTAGTAGAGATGGGGTTTCACCGTGTTAGCCAGGATGGTCTCTTATCTCTTGACCTCCTGATCCACCTGCCTCAGCCTCCCAAAGTGCTGGGATTACAGGCGTGAGCCACTGCGCCCGGCCGTATGAAATGATTTTTAAAGAAAAAAGTATGTATGTTGAACATCTTTCCATGCAAACACCTATGTTTATGTTATTAAATCTGCATGCCATACCATTGTACGGATGCACTGTAAAGGCAGTTAGCTAGATGCATGTTGTTTGCCATTTGCTCATTTCCAATTATTTGCCATGGGAAACAGTGCTTTGTGGAGATCCCTAAATATGATATGCCCTCATATATTTGGAATGAAATCACTGTTCCCCTTTGAAACACCTTCACTCCCATAATGGACTTGACAGGAAGATTAACAGTAAATTAACCAACTAATGCTTGAATCTAAGACCTTATTTAGAATTTTAAATGGGTTAAATGGTGACTATTAGTATCTGGATAAGGTCAATGTTGCTAATCTAAAATAAGCTCTCAAAATTTCTTCAGTCCTGGTTCATCCAACATAACAAAACTCTTGGGGAAAAAAAACATTTCGGCGACATGAAACATCTTGGCAAAGTGTCTACTGCTTGAGTAATTATGGAGATCAGAAAGAAGTCTTTCAGTCTCTTGAAGGGTGTGGCTTTTTGAAATCACTGTGTTGGAAACAACGGACAAATCTTTTCTGCCTTCTTTTAAAATGTGCTTCACTATTTTTAATGGTTGCCAAATATTTTGATTGGATTCCTAGTCTCATTCCAGCAACACGTAGGATGAGGGGAATATTTTTTCCAGACTCAGCACAGTCATGTGCTTGTTCTATTGATTCACCTTCGACTTTTAATTGTTATTTTTCTAATGATCCATGTAAATTGAAATCGTAGAATAGTATTACATTTACCCTCATGTAAAAACAGCATTTCTGTATCTTAAGTTTGTGCTAAAATAGAGCACAAATGTTTGGTCCAGTTTTTAGGTGTTTCTTAATGGTTTTAAAAACAAAAAGGCCTGGTTGTTTGCATGTGTAATGCTAGAGATGATTCCAGTGGATCCTGCCAGATGTAAGGGACACCCTTGATTCTCTTTGGTTATACCTGACTTCAAGACTCTTTCCAGGAAATTTACATGTTTTAAAAACAGACTGCATCTGAATTTTTTTTTAATTTTTAAATTTTATTTTTAAATTTTTGTCTGTTTTGAAACTGGGTTACGAGACTGGCTAATTTTTGTATTTTTGGTAGAGATGGGGTTTTGCCATGATGCCCAGGCTGCTCTCAGACTCCTGGGCTCAGGCAATCTGCCCGCCTCGGCCTCCCAAAGTGCTGGGATTACAGGTGTGAGCCAGCACACCTGGCCTACATCTGAATTTTGACATTAGATTCAATTACAGGACGGTGTGAATGTTTGTATGCTCTATTTCCTTTTTCTTCATCCATGGAGTGAATTGGAATGAGGGAAATGGTAGATTAATAAACCCTAGATTGCAAATTAGCAACCAGTTCTATATTAAATTACACATAAATTAGAACCAAGAACAGGAAAGAACCCCTTGCCATCTGTTCTCTAGCTGCGAGGTAGGTATTAAATGGACCAAAAAGAGCAGAGTTTTATGCATAGCAGTGGCAGTAATGGGAAAGTCATATGTTGTATAGTACTTGCTGTACTGTGCCCATGATGCCTGGCTCATGAATTGACACAGAGCAAGTTGCTATTCCATTGAAAACCATATGTTCCATGTCTCTAGTTCAGAAAAAATAATTGATTTTAATTTAACTTTGCCTACTTTCTTTGCTCTTAAAAATATGTAGACTGTAAAATGTCATTCCCTAGGCACTGTCTGGTGGTGATACCAGCAGCAGCAATAATCATTATTTGTTTAGCTGGGTATTAGGAAGAGGTAGAAATAGTAGATCTTTCCTCTAAGACAATAATTAATCTCCTCTACCCTTACAGTCTTTCTCTGAAAAAAACTTTGTGTGCGTCTGTGTATGTATATATGCATGTATGTATAAAGTGAAATGCTGACTTTAAGTGAGATATTTTTAACTTTAAAATGAATTTTGGCAGGCTAGCATATAAAAATAATGAAGAGTTATCCTTGATTGGACTTAGCTCCTTACTTTCGACCCACTAATGTGTTCAGATGATCATCATCTTTGTCTTCATTTAATGTGGCTTATTGGTTAGCTGTTGCTATGAGGTAGCTGACTGTGGCACCTATTCTAATCTTATTTTGTACATCTCTTATTCCCTAGGTTTACTAATATACTAATTTTCTTTAATAAAGAAATTTTAGAAACTTTTAACCTGAGGGTCAACAGTTAGTCTGCCATTGTCTCCATCATTACTGTGTTTCCCCACAAGATTCAGTTAGATTAATCTCTCTGGTCTTATTTCATCCAAATGTAAAGTTGTTGTTGTTTTATATATATACAGCCAGAGTGCAGTGGCATGATCTTGGCTCACTGCAGCCTCCACCTCCCTGGCTCATGTGATCCTCCTGCCTCTACCTCCTGAGTAGCTGGGATCACAGGCATGCACCACCATGCATGGCTAATTTTTATATTGCTTTTGGTAGAAATGGGGTTTTGCCATGTTGCCCAGGCTTCAAATGTAAAGTTCTTAATACTTAGCTAGTAGAAGGTAAGCCTTGAGATGAGTATTGCTGCATTAATACAGTCATCCACCAGTACCATCACTCTTGACTCTGGTTTGCTAACCTTTTATTTTTTGCTTTTCACTTTCAGCAGACCTACTCCAATGAAGTCCATTGTGTTGAAGAGATTCTGAAGGTGAGTTCACTGTTAATCTTTCTCATTTGAAGAAATATTTAAGTAGGTAGGCGTACATCCATTTACTTTCACTTTAAAGAACAGTTGCCATTGGCTGGGTGCGGTGGCTCATGCCTGTAATCCTAGCACTTTGGGAGGCCAAGGTGGGCGGATTGCTTGAGCTCCGGAGTTCACGACCAGCCTGGACAACATAGCAAAACCCCGTATCTACTAAGAAAAATACAAAAAATTAGCCAGGAGTGGTGGCACATGCCTGTAGTCCCAGCTACTCAGGAGGCTGAGTCAGGCCTCCTGAACTCGATTGAACCCGAGAGGTGGAGGCTGCTGTGAGCTGAGATCACGCCACTGCACTCCAGCCTGGGCAACAGAGTTGAAACTATGTCTCCAATAAATAAATAAATAAATAAATAAATAAATAAATAAATAAATAAATAAATAAAAAATAAAGAACAGTTGTTGTTCCCAAACCCCTTTTAACCATTTCTCCCCCACTCATCTCCAAAGGCAAAAATAAACCAGAATAGTAACAGAAGTAGTCTTGGAACGTAATTGAATTCTCTACCAGATTTTATTAATTAAATTGAAGTCTACAAACTGCAAGACATTTGGACCAGATTTTTATGGCATCTCTCGTTAAGTTTTTCTGGTTGTCCATAAAGGCCCAGGAGAGTTGCTCACTTCCCAGAGAGGAAACTTCCTGTATTGATGTGTGGGAGGCACCAGTGGTTAAACAGTGCTTGATTTATACCTCTTGGCGTTCTGTAGGTGATACCTAATACCTATGGCCTCATACATACAGCCTTTTCTTCAGTGAGACGATGAAATTTTAAAGGAATGAAAGAAAAATAGTGGGAAGTAGATGGTCATCTTTAGACTTACCTTGAAGGATTACTTTTTGCTTTTGTTTATTGAAACTATGCCATGAACATTTGTGCTTCCACAAATATGTCATTGAATACATTACCCACTTGTTCAATTTTTCTTGTACAAGGATGACAGATTCCTTCTAGAACTTAATTCCAGGGGAAAAATGTTAACTTTCCTCATGAACTGGCATTCTTTCTTTTTATCAGAGAAGAATTATATATAATGTTTCCCATTTTGCCTTTAATTTCCAGGAAACCCAGAGCTTAATTTTAATGCTCAGGTACAGTAATTGTAAAAACTGAGGGTTTTGTGTATTTTTTATCCCTCTTCTGTGGCCTTTAATTTGCTTCTAGGTCAATTTTAATGATATTCTTGTCTTTTACTGTAGGGTTTCTGACTTTTTTCTTCTTTTTTTTTTTTAATTAGTAGAGAGATGTATATAATAAATGTGACTGTTAATTTGAATCACTATTGCTCATATTTTCTCAAAATACATTTACTCAATTTTAGTTTTTTAACTTTTCATTTTAAAGTATTAAGTGATGGTGGTACTAAAACCAGTAATTAAGTATATTGGTTATTTCCTCACTTGTGAAATTTTTGACAGTAGTAGTATCTAACCAGTTGTTTGGAAAACAGCTTGTTTTTGTTTCACAGTCTTTTGTCCCATTTTGTAGTTAGGGTTTTCTGAGAAAGAAAGAACCTCTAGAGAAACATACCTTTTTTTTTTTTTTTGAGACAGAGTCTCTCTCTGTCGCTCAGGCTGGGCGTGACCTTGGCCACTGCAATCTCCACCTCCTGGGTTCAAGCGATTCTTGTGCCTCAGCCACCCAAGTAGCCGGGATTACAGGTGTGCGCCAGTACGCCCTGCTAATTTTTGTATTTTTAGTAGAGACGGTGTTTCACCATCTTGGCCAGGCTGGTCTCAAATGCCTGACCTCAAGTGATCCACCCGCCTCAGCCCCTCAAAGTGTTGGGATTACAGGCGTGAGCCACCGTACCTGGCTGAGAAACATACTTTGAACTGCTAACAGTGAGGAATTTTTGTCAACCAGCATGTAAGATTAAATAAGTTACCTCGATTACATTTTTTATCATCCTTTTCCTCTTCTGTTTCTGAAATTTGTTGGTATGGTAAGTCGTAAACATACTAAGGAATTTAATTATATACTGTGGCCTTGGCATTTCCTCTGAAATTGTGCGTTATTTGTTCTATCATTATTTCAGAAGTAAATGCAACAGTGCAGGTTTGTTGTCTTCTGCATATGTCAGATGCTCCTCTTAGGTTTCGGTGTGTGTTGAAATAAGACATGTCACATCCTTTATTTAGGAATGGTGGTATTACAGCACCAGACAAGCATCTTTAATTGAAGGAACCCATCCGTCCTCCTTCCCTTCCCACCCAGGATCACGTTAGTGAATCCTTGCTTACCTCGAAATGCTTGAGAGAGAGTGGTTAATGTATAAATCATGCCCATTTATGATTTGGAAATCATAACTTGGGAAAGCAAACAGAAGGACGTCCAGGACTGAACAGGCCATAGGCCTTTTCATATTGGAGTCTGCCCCTTCTCTTCTGTCTGTGACCTCAGTTAAGTTATAGGTCGCTGCTGGGCTTTGGTTTCCTCATTGGTAAAATGAAGGCCCTGGGCTAGCGGATGATCTCCAGGGTCCATTCCAGCTCTTACTCTTGACGCTGACCCAGATGCTACTTTCCTTTGCCTCCCGGTTCCCGTTCTCATCTTGTACCAGCAATTTATTAAGATTGCCAGGAATCCAAACACAAATCTTTCTGATGGGTGATAGAGGCAGTAAGTAGTTTCCTAACAGAGAAAATCAATCATAGAAGATAATGTTTGGTTCTCTGGGGTCAGTATTTAAGGGGGAAGTGTTGTAATGAAGGGGAAGTGGTGGCCCATAACTCCAGCAGGCTAATGGAGTAAGAAGATAGCAGACATACACTGTTAGTTTTCAGGGAATGGTCATGCACTAGGGTCTAGAAAGGGCAACATGCCCTTGGTGGGTGCATGGAGACACCTCAGATTTTCTACTTACAGGCAAGCCTGGCCTCCACAGTATCTTGGGGGATTAATGTGGTACCAGCAAGCATTACCTCAGTGCAGCATTTCCATGATGCTAGTACAATGAGTGGTAGCACTATTTATATGTTCATTTGTTTATTCAACAAATACTTGTTAAGCCTCCACAGCACTAGGATGTTGTAGTGAATAAGACAGAGTGCTTGCTTTCATGGAGATCAGAGTAGGGAAGAGAAATACATAGTGTTGGGTGTTGATGGTGCTGTGAATAATGCAACAGGCCAGTAAACAGAAGGCTAGGCAGAGGGAAGAACTGGTGGAAAATCCTCGAGGTGGTATCAAGTTGGTGTATTAGAGGAACAATTAGAACTAGACAGTGTCTCCAGAGCAGGATGAGCAAGGAGAAAAAGACAGTAGCTGTGGGGCCTGGAGGGCCAGGGCTGACGTAGGTCCCAGTGATTTGTCTCTGTTCATGTGACAAGTCATTGTTAAGGTAGGAAGTGAAATCATGGCCTTGTGAGTCTTTCTGAGCAGCCTCTTCTCCTTAATAATGGCCCCAGTTCTCTTAAGTCCCTCTAGTAAGCTAGGCATGTAGGGAAGTATATAAATCCTTTCAGACTACCAGGGAACCACTTAGGGTTTGAAAGAATTTATGTACTTTCCAACTGCCTGATTTAATAGCTGGGACAGCCTTAGGCATTTGGTGACTAAAAGTCATAGATACCATTGAGATTCCAAATAAATTATTGAAAAACATAAGGGTGATGTTTTCAGATACCTTCTCAATTAATTATTACATGTTTTTGTGTTGTAACATTATAATGGTTCTGTGCCTTAAAGTATTACCAAGTAAATAAAACAGCAGGAAGCTCTCTTTGGTGCAGTATTGAAATTCTTTTAAAACTGGACTTTTAATTAAAAGTTGTAATGCTTTTAATTTATTAAGTGCCTTCTGTGCAGTATTCATTCAGTACGGTACATAAAGTACTCTTACAATACTTTGAAAATAAGTGGTTCTAGTTTACCTCTTAGTGAGCATTGAGGATTAGGGTTCAGATGACTTACTTAGGCTGACATGGCTGGTAAGGATTGGAGTTAGGATTCAATCTGGGTCTTTGGCTATAGCCATTATTCTTTCCAGTATATTTTAGGAAAGATCTCCTGTTGTGTCCTGAACAAAGCAGATGGCCAGTCAGTAAACAAGGGCACGAGTTCACTTTTAACAAAAATTAAGAAAGCCGGCATCACTTACATTACTCGTCACTGTGCGAGGTCGCTGCTGTCTCTCCTGAGGCTGTGGTAACCCACAGAGCTGCAATGGGGAAGGGCAACGGGAGACCTGCACATAGGTTGGAAGTGGAAGTACTTGCTACAGTGCCATCTCCAGCTGTTGCAAGGATCAAATGGCATTTTTGTGGAGATAGGTTAGCCAGGACTTAGAAAAGAATGAGGCGTTAGAATACATCATGTGTTATACAGGTGGAGTAATATAGCATGCTGTGGGGTCGCAGATTGCTGGTAGAGTTGTATGTCAATTTTTTTTTTTGTTGTTGAGACGGAGTCTCGCCCTGTCACCCAGGCTGGAGTGCAATGGTGCGATCCCCGCTCACTGCAACCTCCACCTGCCAGGTTCAAGCCATTCTCCTGCCAAGTAGCTGGGATTACAGGCATGTACCACCATGCCCGGCTCATTTTTGTATTTTTGTATTTATTTATTTATTTTTGAGACGGAGTTTCATTCTTGTTGCCCAGGCTGGAGTGCAATGGCACGATCTCGGCTCACTGCAACCTCAGCCTCCCGAGTAGCTGGGATTACAGGCATGCACACCCAAACCCAGCTAATTTTGTATTTTTAGTAGATATGGGGTTTTTCCATGTTGGTCAGGCTGGTCTTGAACTCCCGATCTCAGGTGATCCACCTGCCTTGGCCTCCAAAAGCTGGGATTACAGGTGTGAGCTGCTGCGCCCGGCCGCATGTCGAGTATTAAGCCAGTTTGCCGGGCAGGTCTGACACATGTGGGAACCACCTTTGACTTCCTGGGGTACCTTGACTCAATCATTTTGGACCTCAGTTTTTTTCAATCTGTAGATGTTGGGGTTGTAGTTAATGGTCTCCAATGCCATTTTGGCCTTTTAGAAAAGTGTGTTTGTGTGTGTATGTGTATTTGCAATTTGACACATCTTTTTTCTGACATACCTGTTTTCAACAAGTATTTTTAGAAAAATTTGTGAATGTGTTTAGAAGAATTCATGTCAAGATACATATATCAATTGTAAGTTTTAGAAATCTTTCCTTCAACTGAGAAAATTGTAAAAATTAAGCTTCTCAATGGAAAAGAAAGGTAATTTTAAGCTCCTCTCCTTCAAAAAAGTTCTTATTTGCTAATAGTGTGTATCAGGGAAGGGTCAAATCCATTAAAACTCTCCCAAGTGGAACAAGTGACCTGAATTACTTGTTTGCTTAAGTCAAACAGGAAAGTTCTTCTTCCTTTGAACTGAAATAATTCCAGGAAATGCAGTAAAGAAGCTGAGGGAGAAAGAATGCATCGAGGAGAGACTGCTTTTCCAGCCCAACCTGTCACCTACAGTCTTCACAGCTCCACAAGCTCTGGCAGTACCTGTTACGTACAGTTTATGTGCTTGATAATATTCAGGGTGTTAAATTCATTCACGTTCTATACCTTGATTGTCTTCTACAAACTGGCGTTTTTTAGTTTTTTATGTTGGAGAGCTTTAACTTTTCAACATAGCCCACTGAAATAGGAGTTGTTTTTTTTAAGTACATGAAATAACTTTTAAGATTGTACTTGCCATTTATGATCAATCCATTCTACATTAAGTTCAAAATGTTAAGTAGCAATGAATGTTCTATTTATAATTTACTTTTTCTTCCCTTTCCAAATATCTTTCCAGGAAATGACCCATTCATGGCCGCCTCCTTTGACAGCAATACATACGCCTAGTACAGCTGAGCCATCCAAGTTTCCTTTCCCTACAAAGGTAATTCCTTAAAAGTATGGCAGGCATTGCATCCACCTTAGTGAAAAGCGTAAGGCATTGCTGTGAGGCAGATTGATAAAGTATTACTTGTTCAAATCTTTGGAAATGAGGTTAAAATTATGATTAATTTAGCTTCTACAGTGCTTCAGAATGCTTTCAAACATTTATTCTGCAACTTAGAACATCCTAGATTTTCATAAAGCTTTATAATTTATAAAAAGCATTCAGGATTTTCCAATACGTTCTCTCATTTGAGGATCCTTACTTTAGAGATGGGAGAACAGAGGGGCAGGGAAATTGAGTGTGTGATTTCTCGTTCAGAATTAGATATATGCACATACATCTTACATATCTCACACTCCCTACATTTTCTTGAGTTTAATGTGATCAGTTACACTAGTGCTGGTTTAATAACAAGCAAATAAACTGCTGACTTGTGTGTTTCTGTTACAGTATTTATGAACAATGCGTTAAAACACTGCCATTCTCCTTTTTTTTAATTTATACTTTTGGATAACCTTCAAAATGTAGAAATAGCACCTTCAGATCTGTGTTTTGTTCAATCTGATATGCATGTTCATTGTTTTATATACATAATACATATATTGAGAGAGTGAGAGAGCTATTCCTTTCCATGATACTGTTGTGAAAAGTAGTTCTAGGCCAGGTATGGTGGCTCATGCCTGTATTCCCAGTACTTTGGGAGGCCGAGGTGGGTGGATCACTTGAGTCCAGGAGTTTAAGACCAGCCTGGGCAATGTGGCAAAACTTTGTCTCTCCAAAAAAATACAAAAACTAGCCAGGTGTGGTGGCATGCACCTGTAGTCCCAGCTACTTGGGAGGCTGAGGTGGGAGAATCACTTGAGCCCAGGAGGTTGAGGCTGCAGTGAGCTGTAATTAAGCCACTACACTCCAGCCTAGACAACGGTGAGACCCCGTCTCTCTACCACCAAAAAAAAAAAAAAAAAAAAAAAGGTTCTATCTACAAAAACTCAAATTTGCTACTTTATATATTTACTTATTTTCTAATAATTTTTAAAATGTAACTCATGGACCGGGCATGGTGGCTTATGCTTGTAATCCCAGGACTTTGGGAGGCTGAGGCGGGTGGATCACGAGGTCAGGAGATCAAGACCATCCTGGCCAACATGGTGAAACACCGTCTCTACTAAAAATACAAAAATTAGCTGGGTGTGGTGGCGGGCACCTGTAGTCCCAGCTACTGGAGAGGCTGAGGCAGAAGAATCGCTTGAACCTGGGAGGCAGAGGTTGCAGTGAGCCGAGATTGCACCACTGCACTCCAGCCTGGGGTAACAAAGCGAGACTCCGTCTCAAAAACAAAAAACAAAACAAAAAAAACAGTGACTCATTATTGCTTGTTTTAAATTAAAGCACTAAGCTCTGTAAAAATATCTTTGTGCAACAACAAAGGAAAAATAAACTCTAGGAAAGAAGAGAAGCAATGAAAGCTAAAATTAGGTTAATCAATATTTTCAACTTATGCATGAAAAAAGTTTGAATAGATGGATAGCTGCAAGTCATAATGAAATAATTATAGAATCTGTGATGGGTAGTATGGGTATTCTCTACACTGTTTCCATTTTTCTAGATATTTGAAAGTTTCATAAGACTATCCTTTTAATACTAAAAGCTCAACGGTTTTCTCTTTAACTTTATAAGCCTTAATCTTTTAATAATTAGATATTTTTATTTTCTTTCTAGGACTCTCAGCATGTCAGTTCTGTAACCCAAAACCAAAGTAAGTAAATTTGAAACTGCTTATTGGATTGGAGAACAAAGCATAGCTTTTACTGTTTAACGTAAAAACATTAGTAAAAAATGCCCCAGCAGAGATGAGGCCTTCCTATGTTGAAAGAATAGGAAAGGAGAACAAATATAAAACTATTCTTTATGTGGGATTTAAAATTGTTGACCAGGCGCAGTGGCTCATGCCTGTAATCCCAGCACTTTGGGAGTCCAAGGCAGTTGGATCGCTTGAGCCTAGGAGTTGAAGACCAGCCTGGGCAACATGGTGAAACCCTGTCTCTACAAAATTAGAAAAATTAGCTGGGCTTGGAGTCATGTGCCTGTGGTCCCAGCTACTTGGGAGGCTGAGGTGGGAGGATCACTTGAGCCTAGGAAGTAGAGGTTGCAGTGAGCCAAGATTGTGGCACTGCACTCCAGCCTGGGAGACAGCACAGATCCTGTCTCAAACAAACAAAAACCAAAATAAGATTGTTGCAAAGAGTTAATAAAGATGTTTTAGTGAAATACTAAACAAATGCAGTGTGGTATTACTGACACATAGTAGCTGTACCAAATGTGACTCTCACAGCTAGGAATTGTATACAACAGTAGATTGGAGTGTGTCATTCTTGTGTTTTAAAAAACAAAACTAAGAAATTTTTATAAGGAATATGACATACAGTTTGTCTAGCCCCACTATATTTGTTTGCCATGTAATTCTTTTTCAGCCTGAGGGTTAAATCTGCCCTGCAGCTAGTTTTTGTAAATAAAGTTTTATTGGGACATAGCTGCACCCATTTATCTAGTATTCTACAAAGTATAGCACAAAAAACCTAAAATATTTATTGTCTGGCCTCTGTAGATAAAATTTGCTGTTCCCTGCTGTAGAGATACTGAATAAGATCTTGCAAAGAAGTCATAACTAAAATTTCCCCAAAATGCAGATAAATAAACCCGACTATATTGCTACAGTATTGTATGAGTAGCTAGGTAAAATTAACTGAAATGGATGGCTGCTTGGGAAGATTGGGAAATCTTTTTTCTCCACATCTTGGCAGCTAGCCCAGACCAGTGGAGTGTGCACAGGTCTGAAGGCAGAACACCAGCTCAGCCGTGGGTGGGGTTGCTATGCACCACTCTGCCCCCACCTTCGGTCTGCTTGGGTTGCTGGTCATGCAGGTGGCATGTCTTTCACGGGGTTGCTCATGGTTTGTTTTATTGCTAACTCATGGTTTAGAAAGAACCTTTAGTCCATTAAACCATTTGATTTCCCCTTTTAGCAAAATATAGTTGAAGATGAACTGATAAGCACTTTCTTGGCCAGGGATGGATCATCCTCTTGCCCTATGCAGTAATGTGGGTCAATTCCTTGTTACTCTGATGAGAAATTGTCCAACATTGGTGGGTCTCCTGGAGGTCCTGGCTCACCAGCTGCTTACCCCCACATCTTTTATGCTGCTGTCACTTTATTCTGCTATTCCGGCAGCCTTATTTATCTTTGTGAGAATGTGACCTGAAAAAGAGGGATCTAGTTTGTTGCATGTAGGATGAAGAGGATGGTGGGGTATGGATGGATATAGCTTTCAGTGAAGAGAAGACAAACATTTCTTAAAGTATGCCCAGCAAGTCAACTCTGATTTCTTCAACACTTGATCTTATGGTACTGGTACATAGGTTTTAGAGTCTCTGGAGAGGGGAGGTAGGGGGATTTTACTTGGATGCCCTAGTGTTATATGTCCACAATTGCAAAACCCAGACCCTGTGGAATTTAGAACCCAGGCAAGATGATCGTGTGGAGTCCCTGTGAATGGTCTGAAGAGGAGGGGCCTCTGCCCCTCTCGTTTGGAGTCTTGGTCCTAGCTTTCTAGACAGAGGGGAGGCCATTTGAAAATATCATATAAGAGCTGCTGCCACCATGAGGGCAAAGTGACTAATTGCAAATATGCAAGGGTCTCCACATGACATTTGTGGGAAATGTCATTCAGCCCTGCCTAAAAGGTACCCATGTTTCTTTTTCACTTCCAATTCTGTTTCAGGTCCCTATTACCTCATGTCTAGACAAATGCAGCTGCCTCCACACGTAACATTTCCTGCTCCCTTCTAAGTTATGCCAGGTAGCACTACCAGAGTAATCCTTCTGAGGAATCACTGTGTCATGTTCCTGTTTAGATCATTGATGTGTCTCATAGCCCAGCAAATACAGTCATAACTTCCCATCCTGGCCTTCAGAGCCCTCTGAAATCTGCTTCCGCCTGTTTCAGTGCTGTCCAGCACAGATTCTGCACCTCAGCCCTGCCCTTTCCAAACTCAGACCCTCTTCTTCTTGTTTGTTCCCACTGTCCTCTCTCTCTTGCCAGCATCACTCTGCCAGAATCTTGGCTGTCCTTTGTGATACAATTCATTTTGTTCTTTCTTTAATTTGCTGCCTTTGGTATTACCAAGAGAGCAACCATTCTGTGATTTCCCAGGGCAGTTAATTTATGTATTGACTTGTGTACTTAATCTCACAGTGCCTTGGATTATAGATATTTATGGACCCGTTTCATGTCCCTCAGTCAACAGTGAGCTCTCTGAGGACAGGGCCAAATGCCTTAAACATGTTGGTATCTATGAGGTAGTCTATAAATAGCTGCTGAATGAATGAATTGCAGGTGGGGAGTTGAATAATGAAGGGACAGGTGGGATGGAGAGCACCTAGGACAGAGCTGTCTAAAGAGAGTGATAACAAATCACTAATATCTTTGTAAAGTCACATGGGACCCAGGGCGCTGGGAGCATAGCCCTGGCAGAGTGCTTCCATGTGGGCCTCCACCCCTGTCAAGGACAGGGAGGTCTTCCAACAGGTAGGTAAGTTCCTGGCGTCATAGGTAGGGTATGCTGCAAGCAATGATTTTCAGTGTTTTTGGCCTATTGAGAGGTTTTTGATTCTGAACCAAGCATTCTCTCTAGAAGTAACATAAATGTCATCTTATAATGCTAAGATTGTACCAAGTGCAGTGTGTTTAGGTAAAAACTGGGGACCGACATAAAAGAACTCACAACTAAGGATCTTGTAAATATGTGTCATTGTGCTGCTTTGATGTTTCTCTCCCCCACAGAACAATATGATACATCTTCAAAAACTCACTCAAATTCTCAGCAAGGAACGTCATCGTAAGTGAAATGCTTTTTGTGTATTAAAATTTTGTAGTATGAAATTGTAATGTCTCATGTCAATGCATTGCTTAGATTTTTCTGCCTTTATGTAATGACATTAATAAGACTGCTGCATTCTAAAGGGAAGAAAGGGCCCACATTAATTTTTTTTGCTTGTTTGTTTGAGATGGGGTCTTAACTCTGTTGCCCAGGTGGGAGTGCAGTGGCATGATCTCGGCTCACTGCAATCTCTGCCTCCCGGGCTCAAGCGATTCTCATGCGTCAGCCTCCTGAGTAGTTGGGACTACAGGTGCCCACCACCATGCCTGACTAATTTTTGTATTTTTAGTGTAGAGAGGGTTTCACCATATTGGCCAGGCTAGTCTCGAACTCCTGACCTCAAGTGATCCGCCTGCCTCAGCCTCCCAAAGTGTTGGGATTACAGGCGTAAGCCACTGCACCTGGCCTAATATTTGGATTAAGTCCCCCTGTTGAAGGTCTATGTACCATTGGAGAGTTTGGTAAAAGGTCTTCTTGAGGGGGAAAAAGGGTTTTTGAGCCATTATTTACATTTTAACTCTGGGAATAGAAGGCCTTTGCTTTTAAGATGTCATTCTTTAATAGCTTTAGCTGTTAGAAACAAGTTTTGGGGGATGTGCACAATTGAAGATTTTCCGCCCTTTTTTGGCCTAATTTACTAATAAAGAGCTAATCTTATTGCCCAGCTATTCTTTATTAAGGCCAGTAAGTCCAGAAATATTTTGGGTTATGGGAACGTTTTAGACTGCATATTAAAGATTTTTAAATTGGCATTTTGACCCAATTTGTCATTTCTTGATGGTATTGAACTCTTACTACTTTACTTTCATATGACAGGAGCTGGTCATAGGGACTAAGTGAGGAGGCCTTCCTCCAGTATCTGATCTGTCACTAACTCTGTGTTGCTAGTCTCAGGATTTCAGGTGGCCCAGGAGTTTAAGCTCCAACTTTCCTTTAGTTTTAGGCACAATATTTGTTCCATGTATTTTGGAAGGTGGGGATTGCTATGGATTATTTAAAAAACTATATATTGAGCTGGAGAGGTTATTTTATCTCCTCGCCATGACTAAATGTGGGTCTGGGTTAAGTGTTTGTTTCCCAAGTGCCAATTCCTTAATGTACTTTGTGAAATGAAGGGAAAAGGAACAAGAAGACGAGGTGTTTTTGTTTTTTTGGTCTGAAAGATGGGTTTTGTGCATGTGGTAAGAATGTATTTTATTTGTGATACTGGTAGATGATGAGGTTTTTGTTTTTGTTGTTTTTAATGCCTTTTGCTGGGAAAGTAAAATGTTACCTTTTGTTATTCCCTTTTTTTTTTTTTTTTTTTTTTGGAGACAGGGTCTTGCTCTGTCACCCAGGCTGGAGTACAGAGGACTACAGACTACAGGGACACACCCGGCTTTTTTTTTTTTTTTTTTTTTGGTAGAGGTGGGGTCTCCCTTTGTTGCCCAGGCTGGTCTCCAAGTCCTGGGCTAAAGCAGTTCTCCTGCCTCAGCCTCCCAAAGTGCTGAGATTACAGATGTGAGCTTCCACACTTAGCCTCTTTTTTTCTTTTTCTTTTTCTTTTTGGAGACAAGGTTGCTTTGTTGCCTAGGTTGGAGTGCAGTGGCTCTTCACAAACCCAAATAGCACACTGCAGCCTCAAACTTCTGGGCTCAAATAATTCTTTACCTCAGCCTCCTGAGTAGCTAGGACTACAGGCACAGGCTACTATGATGCCCGGCTCCCCTTCCCTTTTGCCTTTCACCTTTTCTTTTTTTCCTTTTTAATTTTTACATATTTATGTTTTAACATATTTTTAGAGACAGGGTCTCACTATGTTGCCCAGGCTTGTCTTAAAACTGCTGGGCTCAAGTGATCCTCCTGCCGCAGCTTCCTGAGTAACTGGATTACCAGCACACACCACCACACTTCCTTTATGTTTTTGGAAATTTTACTGGCTGCTAAATTCTAAGACTGTAGACTCACTGACATGGATTACATTTAAGGAAGGAGGAGGTTTGTTAAACCAGTTGATGGCTGGTAAGGAGTAGAATCTGCAGATCAAGGACCACAACTGTAAGAATTCTGTAGAAGCTCTGTAATCTCCCCAGGGTTTTACACCAGGTATTTCTTTGTGATGGTTGGTTGTCAAGCCCTGTAGACCATAAAAGGCCCTGACCATTGTCTTTGGGGCAGCCAGGAAGGGACGTTAAAGCCTGGGTATCCCAACTGACTGTAAGCATAGAGGGGAGGAGCTCTCCCAGGAGTAGAGTGGGTGGAGCAATTGCACCGAAGTTGGGTAGTGACTGTGTCTCTCGCCTGTGGATAGAGGAAGAAAGGCAGCTGGGTCTGATCTACGCCTGACAGGTAGCCTCAGACTGAGCAGGCAAAAGTCACACCCTACCACTCCAATTTCCATCAGCTTTCAGACTTTCAGAGACAGACCATTCCTGTGATGACACTGCTCAGTGAAATGAGTGGTTTTCTTGATAGCAGTGTTAAACCACTCAAATCAGAGGTGCCTGAAAGTAGCTAACAAGTATATCTTGTGACACGTAGTGTTTGCTTTATAAAAACTATTAATTTAGTACATATAAAATTATCTAGGAAAGAATATTTGTGATGATCCTAATAGATTTACAGAAGGTAGAAGTAGGACCTAGTGGAAGGGAGGAGAGGTAAGAGTAACACAGAAGAGAAGTGATACTGAGGCCGAGTAGATAATGAGGGTTGTGTGGACTTGGTGATTATGTGGGGGGTAGACGTGGTGGTATTGATAAGTGCCAGAATGAAATGTATCCTTGGGAAAAAGGAATGACTTTTATGAACTCACTTTTAATGGAGATTAGAAGAAAGTGGTGTCCCAAATTAATTGGCAAATTGCAGTTGTTTCAGATTTTGTGTGGCAAATCTCTTAGTGCTCGCGGGTTGATTTGATCTATTGTCAGCATTAGGCTTCTTTGACATGCAGTTAAGCTATTTGAGTGGCACATAGAGTGCTGGGGAGATATTCTAATGCATTTTGAATATCAGAAAAAAATTATTAATTGCAGGGTCATTTACACTTTGATTTAAAAAACCAATCTAGGTCTTAATGCTTTTTCTTTCAGAGTTATGAGGACTTGGGAATCCTTAGACAAGTGGAATAGGACATATAAGAGTATAAAAGAGAGGCCCAGTAGTAAAGGATAAGCTTGCGAGTGGTCTGTATTAACTCAGATATGGTTAGGGGGTAGCAACGTGGTAGAAGGATGTAGTTGTGAAATTAAATGTAATGGTTCAGCATGTAGTTTGAGATGTAGTTATTTCTCAAATAATTCCTTCTGTAAAGTTCTGTAGGTAACTGATTAGCTAGGATGTTAGTGCAATTTGCCCCTAAGTTTAAGAGAGAGTGTATTTGTTTAAGGGCTCTTGGTTTTGGAATCCTCTTCCTTTCCAAGGCTTAGATCTGTGAAGTGCTGAGGACAAAGTATAAAGTATTTCCTTTTTCTGTACAGTAACTGTGACCTTCATATAATTGTGGACAATTCTTTTTCTGTGCAGCCAGATTTAGTTTACTGGTGTCAGTGCATTTGTCAGCCTCTGAAAGAGGACAAAAATGTTAATATTTTAGAAACTAAAAAAGCAATTTATTTGTATATTCTAGCTAACTTGTTTCTTCCCCTACCCCAAAATTGCCAAGTCCTTACAAAAAGGTGCCCTCCATTATTTTTCTTGTTTTTGGCCTCTGAAATCAACACTTACTTAAAATAAGAGACAGAAATTAGTCATTATAGCAATTTGAAATATTTATTACTTATGTGGAAGGTTTCTTTTGAAGTGAGGGAGATATCTGGATGTGAAGGCTGAGATTGGGATTGTCCCTCGAGTTGGATGAGAAAGACTGTTGCCAAGTTAGTAAAGACTGGGGTGAGTCTGATACCTTTTCAAATGAGCCCGAGTTTTCAACTTTTACTCAAAACATTGTTGGCTTTTAAATATTTTGGTAAAGAGCAAGGGAAGACTCATTCTGTTTATTGTAATATAAAATTGTCACATCAGGATGTAAGTAGTGTCAGCTGAAATGTTCTAGAATTAAGTCCAAAGACATGCTTTACTTGTAGCATATTTAAATCATGCTTAGCCTAAGGAAATTAAATTTTTCCTTGTTTTCAAATATTAGCTTATACCGTTTGAACCTGGATATTTCAATGGCAGGTCTAACTGAGAGTACAATTTGCTGATAAATATTATGGAAGTGGTAGAAATCTGCCCCATGTGTAAAGCTTAGAACTTGACATTGAAGTAATATCTACATCCCTTATTCACAGTTCTTCCGCTTCCCAAAAACAAGGAACAAACATTTGTGCTGGTTATTTGTACATTTGTAGATCTGCATTAAGCCTTCACCATCATAGAACATTTATTAAAATGTTTTTCACTAAGTGTTGATCTCACTTTTTATTTTCCTTTTTTGAGACAGGGTCTCATTCTGTCACCCAGGCTGGAGTGCAGTGGGGTGACCTCGGTTACTGCAACCTCCACCTTCTGGGTTCAAGCAATCCTCCCACCTTAGCCTCTCGAGTAGCTGGGACTATAGGCACACACCACCATACCTGGCTAATTTTTGTATTTTTAGTAGAGACGGGGTTTCGCCGTTTGGCCCAGGCTTGTCTTGAACTCCTGGACTCAGGCAGTCTGCCCACCTTGGCCTCCCAAAGTGCTTGGATTACAGGCGTGAGCCACTGTGCCCGGCCCCCACATGCTGTGTGCTTGGTGCTGCTTTAGGTACTTGGAGAAACTGTGGTCAATAAGACAAAATATTTTGTAACAAACTGTAGGTGGCATATAATACAGAGCAAGGGATGTGACAGTGACAGGGTTGAGAGGAATTCTTTGGATAGTAGTTACACTTCAGGGAAAAGAGGGGTCCAGAAAGGTCTCCCAGAGAGGGTGACATTTGATAAGAGAAAGGCAGAGACTATTTGCCACCTTGAAAGGGGCTTGACAGATTATGCTGTAGGCTTTGAAAGCTTTTGAAAACCTGAGGGAGTCTTTTTTTAAGTGATTACTTTGAAAGAGCTCATTTGCATATATAAAACCTGGATTTGGGGAGCCCTTAAGGGTCCCTTTAAGTGTCATTTTACATCATAACTGCTAATTTACTACAATAAGTGACCCTAGGCTAATTTAAACGTAGATTGAAAGATTGAATAAAATATATTTTAATTTGCTAGGAATCTTAGCCTTAAGGGTAGTTAGTGTATTTTACCCTCTCTGTGGGATGCTGGGCTGTTAAACCAACAAGGTGTGGTCCACTTTCACAAGCATATTAACATTCCTGCCTCCTAGCAAGGGCCTCCAAGAACCTCCATAACCTATCCCCTACCACGGCCTGTCCCTGACACACATGTCCATTTTCCATTCTGGCAGGCTTGGCCTCCCTGCTCTTTTTGGTGTTGTGATGACTCTCCCCACAAGACTTGCATTGTGCTCTCTCCCTCCTTTCAGCTGTGACCTGGGGTGGCCTTTATCAGTAGTTTTCCCTAACTACCCTGTATAAAAGAGTGACCTCTAGCCATCCTTTCTCTTTTATCCTTTTCCCTCCACAAGCTTGTTACCCATTGAGAAATGGTGTATTTTAGTTGTCTTCCTCCTCTAGACTAGCGGGGATATTTTTCGGCTCAGAGTTGTAGCCATAGGGTCTAGAGCAGTGCCTGGCACATAGTAAGTGCTCAGAATAAATGCAGAAGGAAAGATTCTACACGATAAACTTGATTGAATACCTATATACAGTATTTAATAGACATGGTTTAGAGTAATATTTTAGATTTTGTTTCTGTTAAAAGTATATCATTCTTTTACCTTGTCATACTTACTGATTTAATCTACTGATTTAACTTCAGATTTTCCCTCATTTACACTCTTGTGATTTTTCTCATTTCCTTATTTGACATCAGATAATCTTCACTTCGTCCATGGAGTTTAAATAATCTTTTATAACTCCAGCACCATTTTTATCATATCAACCATTAACCTCTTTCACTAGAGTTAATCATGTAGAGTCAGTTTCCCCTCTATCTTGTTACCCCATAATTCCTGTGGAAAGTTTCCCATGAACTTGAATTCTGCCTTCTAACTATTGTCACCATTTGGAGATTTCCTATTATATGTTGTGTCACAACTGCTGGAGATCTACCTTTTCACTTTTTCATCTCTTCTTCGTTTAGCCTGCTTCGTAATTTGTAACCTCCCACCATCTCTTAGAATGCACGGGCAGTCCTTATTTCTGGCATACATCAAGAAAGGAATCAGAGCCTGATTGCTTTGAAAATGCCAGGATTCTACGGCCAGGCTCACACCTGTAATCCCAACACTTTGGGAGGCTGAAATGAGAGGACTGCTTGAGCCTGGGAGTTTGAGACCAGCCTGTGCATATAGTAAGACCTCGTCTCTACAAAAGATTTCTTTAAAAAATTGCCAAGCATGGTGGCACAAACCTTTGGTCCCAGCTACTCAGGAGGCTTAAGTAGGAGGGTCACTTGAACCTGGACGGCGAAGAGTTTGCAGTGAGCCATAATGGTGCCACTGCACTCCAGCATGGGCGACAGAGTGAGACCTTGTCTGAAAAAGAAAAAAAAAAATCCTGGGATTCTGGATGTGCTCTGGAGCCCAGCCTCTTTCTCCTGCCTTGTGTGCCATTGCCCATCCTATCCCCGGATCAGTTTCAGATTTGTGAGATTCTATAAGTTTACACATTCTCACATACTTGTTAGTGGTTCCCGAAAAGTGTTACTTTTCTTATTATTTTTAGCACACCTGATACCATGGCTGTGACTTACTAATTTTAAGTAACTACTATGAGCACTTACTCTTTCTCAAAGTGATCTTAAGAAATGTTAAGCCAAGAAATAAGGTTATGTAAATACTTTTTGGGTCTGAATTGAGATGTTACAAAATATTGGCAGTGAAAGCTTTGGGCAAGCCCAGTACTAAGAAATGGAAAATAAATGGCGACTTGTCTTTATGTCTTCACACAGTAGCAATCGGGTTGACTCACTGCAGCGTGTCTGCCAGAACCTGTATGTGGCTCTTTAAGCTTTGCTAGAACAGCTGCCTGAAAAAGCAGTTGTACAAAGGGTTTTGAGAATTGTTTGTTACCTGTAAGCAAAAAGTTTACCTAACCAAATGTAAAATGTGATTAAATCTACATGTAAAGAGTTGCTTTACCTGAGCGATTTGGCTTCTTTTGAACAGTGTCAAAGTAGGTAATACGGTTGTATATGTTTTGAAATAACTGCCTTGACTTGGCATTTGGAAATGAAACTTGTTATTTGACCAGTTAAAGTATATAAGGTTTAAAAGTTAATTTGTCTTCATAAGGGAAACATAACATATTGAGTTCCAATAGGAAAGTAGTTTTATTTTAAATCAAAGTCTCTCTCTTGGTGGGTTCTGGAATTTAGATTTAATTCCATCAGTTGGGTTTTCTAACCATTGTGTAATACATTGGCCAGAACAAGGGGATCTTGGGCATGTCAGGTGGCTGTTTTCCTCATCCTTAGAATGTGAAGGGATGGTCAAAAGCCACCACACAGGATTGTAATGATAAGCAGTGTCTGTTCTGATCACATAGTGGGCACAGCTACATGATACTGTTATTCAACAAAGGGGTCCTATTCATTCAGCCTGCTGTTTTAGGATACCTACCAGTTTCTAGACAGAATATAAAAGGTGAAAATGATTTGATCCTAATTAAAAAAAAATTTATAGGTGAGAAAGAAGAAGCATATCCATTGAGCTTTCTGTTCTCTTGACCTAGGCTTTATTGCCGTGACTGAGACTGGGTCTAAGAGATTTGGATTCTCTTGTCATGGGGACAGAGGTGCTCACCCAGGTGTGCTGTAGTTCATCTCCTCATTTTTCACATTCAACGACTGATTCTTCACATATAGTATGTGCTTGGCTTCAAATACAGTTTGTGGGACAGGCAGAGGACCTTAGCCTCTTAAATTTAAAAGAAATTTAAATTCCTTTAAAATTTGTCCTTAGGCCTAAAAATCCTTCACCTGTCATCAAACTGTCTTCAGCTACATAGATTTTCTGTTTAAAAAAAATTCTAATGGCATTCATGATTAATTTTCTATATTAGCATAACTTAGTTATGACTTGTAACTTAAAAAAAGTAGATGTTGTACATGTTTTTTAATCAAAAACTTTAGAAAAAAATTTTTTTCTTGCTGCCATT